>NC_000022.11:31891382-32042897 GCF_000001405.40 Homo sapiens
TTACTCCGGTTTCTGTCAACTTTTGGTTAATCTCTGCTCTCATATTCATCTTGCTAACCACACTTCCTGGACTTAGTCTTTTGAGAGAATGGTGAGTGGTACATCTGGCAGCTGAATGCCAGTTTGCCTGAATGCCATTAGTGACCTAGCTGGAGCTCTCCTGCCTTACAACAGAAGCTCATTAAAATTGCTGACGCAAGAGCTGTTTATCTTTGTCAGTGAGAAAAACCCACTCAGGGCTTCTATCTGCAGAACCCAGAACTAAACTGACCACTTCAGCTGAAGAAAACTGTTGAATTCATGGGGGTAAGGGAGAATGAGGGGTGGATTATAGTTTATAGAAACCCTAGGTCTGGGGGTACATGTTCTCAGGATCTCTTAAGACTGTGCCTCAGGGAGGCAAAAAACAAACAGAAACCCTAGGTCTGGCAGTGCCCAGCCAGGCAGAACAGAAGCCTGACCTTTTCTTTGCTTCTGAGCGTATTTTAGGGCCTTAGCCTGGTCAGGAACTTGATTGACACGTCTCTGAAACATCCTATCTTGAGTTGGTAGGATTTCTGAGCAGAAGTCCCAGATAGGATGAGTAAGCTTGGTACTCACCCAGCATCCTTGAGCAACATGTCAATGATAGGACAGGGTGTTAAGCTTCATTATAAGGTTTCATTTCTTGAGAAAAGATTGTAGAACTACTGTCTTCCTGGGTTGAAACCTGAAAAGCAAGACTTGTCACTGGTGGTCTGTGCTGTTTGCCCATTGTGTTTCTTCATAGGTCACTGAAATAAAAAGATCTGGGGTTTAGCCTGGCTGAGGTTCTGATTCCATCATCTTGGCCAAGGCATCTTCCCTCCCTGGCTGCCATTTCCTCATCTGTAAATGAAGGGGTTGGATTACTTAGGGAGAAGTAAACTATGGCTTAAGCAGCCAAATCTGGCTCACCATTTGTTCATTTATAATTGACTATTTCTTTTAGAGCAGTTTTCGGTTCATAGCAGAATCTAATAGAAAGTTCCTGTACATCTGGCCGGGCATGGTGGCTCAAGCCTGTAATCCCAGCACTTTGAGAGGCCGAGGCGGGTGGAGCACCGGCGGTCAGGAGTTTGAGACCAGCCTGGCCAACATGGCAAAACCCCGTCTCTACTAAAAATACAAAAATTAGCCGGGTGTGGTGGCGCATGCCTGTAATCCCAGCTACTTGGGAGAATGAGGCAAGAGAATCACTTGAGCCTGGGAGGCAGAGGTTGCAGTGAGCCAAGATCACGCTACTGCACTCCAGCCCGGGTGACATAGTGAGACTCCATCTCTGAAAAAGAAAGAAAGAAAATTACTATGCATCCTTTGACCTCCACCCCCACAACCTGCTGCCCCCACTATCAACATCCCCAGACGGAGTAGTCCATTTTTTACAAGGTACAATCCATAAACCTACATTGACATCATTGTCACCCAGAATATCCATGGTTTACATTTTAGGGTTCACTCTTTGGTGGTGTATTTTTTTTTTTTTTTTTTTTTGAGACGGAGTCTCGCTGTATTGCCAGACTGGAGTGCAATGGCGCGATCTCGGCTCACTGCAACCTCTGCCTCCCAGGTTCGAGCGATTCTCCTGCCTCAGCCTCCTGAGTAGTTGAGACTACAGGTGTGCACCACCACACCCAGCTAATTTTTGTATTTTTAGTAGAGATGGGGTTTCACCATGTTGGCCAGGATGGTCTCGATCTCTTGACCTCGTGATCTGCTTGCGTCGGCCTCCCAAAGTGCTGGGATTACACACGTGAGCCACTGTGCCCGGCTGGTGTTGTATATTCTGTAGGTTTGGACAAATGTATAGTGACACGTATCTAACATGATATCCTACAGAATAGTTTAACCGCCCTAAAACTCAGTCTGCTTTTATAAAGTTTTATTGGAATACAGCCAGGCACCTTCATTATGTAACGTTTGTGGCTGCTTTTGCACTACAATAGCAGAGTTGAGTAGTTGCAACAGAAACCATATGTCTCACAAAATGTAAAATATTTATAATGGGGCCTTTTACAGAAAGGTTTCCAATATCTAGATGATTTCCAGGAAACTTCTGGAATCTGCAGTTTTCTTTTAGGCACTTGTATATAGTTTCATATCTGGATACTTAGTTATTTGTTCTTCTTCATCCCACTCCTTTTCTCACTCTCTTGGGGCCCCTCCTGTGTGCTGACATAGCTGCCACTGTCCCAGAGCAGAGGACTGTGACCCTGGATGTTGACGTGAACAACCGCACAGACCGGCTGGAGTGGTGCAGCTGTTATTACCATGGCAACTTTTCTCTGAATGCAGCCTTTGAGATCAAGCTGCACTGGATGGCGGTGACCGCAGCAGTACTCTTCGAGATGGTGAGAACCTTCATGCATGTTGTCAGGCCTTTGGCTCACCTCACAGTGGGCATGGAGATGCTTGATAGAGATTCATGTCACTTTAATTTTTTAGTTCAGGCTCTTATTACCATTCATCGGGACTATTGGAGTAACCTTTTTAAAAAATTTAAACATAGTAAAAATTTTAAGCAATCAAAAAAGGTAGAATCAGGGTTTCTTAGCCTTAGCAGTATTGACATCTGAGGCCAGATAATTCTCTGTGGGGGAGTCCTGCACCTTATGGGAAATTGAGCAACAACCCTAGCCTCTACCCACTAAATGCTAGTAGCACAGCCCCAGGTGTGGTAAGCAAAATGTCCCCAGATATTGTCACATGTCCCCAGGAAGGGGGAGTATTGCTCCCTCTTGAGAATCACTGGTTTAGAGTGAAAAGTAAGTCTGTTTCCCACTCTCATTCCCTGGGATCTACTTCTGCTTTGTTGAGTAAACTTCCAGAGAGATTCTAAGCATGGACAAAATCACGTTACTTTTTTTTTTTTTCAGCAGAGATGGTAGCATTGGATACATACTACTTACATTGCATTTTTTCTATCACCTATGTGTTCCATGTCAGTACAAATAAATCTGCCTTGGGATTTTTTTTATTATTATTGTTATTGGGATTTTTGTTTGTTTTTGTTTTGCCTCGTTGTTTTTAAGGGCTGGAGAGTTTTCTATTATTTGTTTAACCATAGTTAACCAGTCCCCTGTTAATAAACATCACTGCTTTGAACTCAGTGGTTCTTTACCTGGGCGGATTTTGCCACCCGGGATCATTTGGCAATATCTGAAGACAGAAAAGGGTGGCTGGGCACGGAGGTTCACGCCTTGGGAGGCCGAGGCAGGCAGATCACTCAAGGTCAGGAGTTCAAAACCAGCCTGGCCAACATGGTGAAACCCTGTCTCTACTGAAAATACAAAAATTACCCAGGCATGGTGGTGCACGCCTGTAGTCCCAGCTACTCGGGAAGCTGAGGCAGGGGAATCACTTGAACCTGGGAGATGGAGGTTGTAGTGAGCCAAGATCATGCTACTGCACTCCAGCCTGAGTGACAGAGTGAGACTTCATCTTAAAAAAAAAAGGAAAAAAAAAAAGAAGGCCGGGAGCAGTGGCTCACGCCTGTAATCCCGGGCCGAGGCAGGAGGATCACCTAAGGTTGGGGGTTCGAGACCAGCCTGACCAACATGGAGAAACCCCGTCTCTACTAAAAATACAAAAAATTAGCCAGGCGTGGTGGCGCACTGCCTATAATCCCAGCTACTCGGGAGGCTGAGGCAGGAGAATCGCTTGAACCTGGGAGGTGGAGGTTGCAGTGAGCTGAGATCGCGCCATTGCACTCCAGCCTGGGCAACAGAGCGAGAATCCGTCTCAAAAAAAAAAAAAAAAAAAAGGAAAGAAAGAAAGGGGTGAGGGCAGGGTGGGTGCTACTGGTGTCTAGTGGGTAGAGACCAGCAAAGCTGCTCATCATCCTATAATGCACAGGGCAGCCCCCACAACAAAGAATAACCAGCCCAAGATGTCACAAGTGCCAAGGTTGAGAAGCCCTGTTTTAACTGGTCTTCCTGCCTGTCCTTTCTCCTTCTAGTTCATCCTGGCCTGCATCTGTAATCAGGCCATTCACTGCTCCTACACTAAGAAGCCATACCTGACCATCCCCCATCGCAGTGCTCACTCCTTAGCCAAGTTGTCAGTATCTTCCAGGACAGCTCCTTAACCATCTTTATAGTGTGCCACTCCTTTTTATACACTCTCCAATATAGCCAAAAAGAATATTCTTCTGTGGCTTCTACTGAATCTCGCTTCTCTCAACACCAGCCCAGCCATCTCTTCATACAACAGAGAACAGCTGGGAAGTTCAAAAAGAGTTTACTAAAAGCTAGGAGATAAGCAAAGAGAAATGAGTACAGCATGAGCCAGCAGGTTTTTTTTTTTGTCCAGAGCTCATAGGCTAAGTTTTGTCCCACAAAACATGGTATCCTGGGAAAGCAATTTTTCCAGGTCTCTGTCTGCCTCCACATGGCATTAGCATCTTCAAGGACCCCTCCCTTGGAAAGACTCTCATCTGGGGAACATCCTTAAGGTCCAAATAAAAAAAGACAGCCTGCTGCTCATTCTGCTCAGCTCACAGAGGACACCAGCCCTTCCCCAGCTCACTGATACCAGCATGACCACTTCTTTCAGGTAAAACTAACTCTCTGACCCAGTAGGCATAAGCACTCTCCTTGCTGGCCCTACTAGATAAGCATATCCCAAAACAGCATGACCACAGCATTGATAGACACACACATATAGTTATAGTTGGGCAGGAAGGACAGTGTTCATTTCCTTAGAGGAATTTAGCAACTGTCTCTGTAAAGTACACCTTTCACATCTGTTCATGTAAAACCCACTGAAAGCTGCTAATCTCTTTATCATTATTTTATTAAGCTTTTAAAACTTCAGTGTATGTAAGTTAATTATTATTTAAGGCAATGTCCACATTTGTTAAAAATCAGATTTTATTGAGACAAATACTACATAAAATAAAAAGGTTTTTGACCAAGGCTTAGGAATTATTTCGGTCAAACAGAGATCTCGGCTTTTTGTTGTTATTTTTGTTATGAACATTCCGTGAGAGAAAAGATAAGGGTGGTACCCTTTAATTTTTTACATAATCATTTGTTTAAGTCAAGCTGTGTCCCAACTCTATTTTTTTGGAAATAATACTTGACACAAAAATCATCTGTATGCCAGAACCACATCGATCAACCTTTTTTTTTTTTAACATACATCATTTTTATGGTTAAAAAGAGTATCTCAAGATCTAGAAAATTGCCACTGTTCCCTAAGAAAATGTTATTGATGGTAGGTTTATCTTTTTGCCCCAGTAACTTTTGTTCTCATCTTTGGACAGATAGGATTTGGGACTCTGCCAGAGAGTGGCTCTCACTCTGTCAGGTCAGGGCTTACCATTATCAGAAGCCACTGTGGTCATTTCCCCTCCTCCATCACATTTCTCTCAGCCAGCCTGAGTGAGTTGTTTTCCTATTTGATACTTTGAACTTATTAAATTCCTGGTAAAGTACAAAATTAGGCTGGGATCATGCCTATAATCCTAGCATTTGGGAGGCTGAGGCCAGCGGATCACCTGAGTCAGGAGTTCGAGACCATACTGGCCAAGTGGCAAAACCCCGTCTCTACTAAAAATACAAAAATTAGTTGGATGTGGTAGTGCACGCCTGTAGTCCCAGCTACTTGGGAGTCTCAGGTGGGAGAATTGCTTGAACCTGGGAGGCGGAGGTTGCAGGGAGCTGAGATCTGGCCCCTGTACTCCAGCCTGGGCAACAGAGAAAGACTGTCTCAAAAAAAAAAAAGGACAAAATTAGAAGGACTTAACCTCTATCCTGTGACCTTTCTCCAACATCCCCTAGAATGGGAAGGATTTCAACTCTCTGCAGACCGTTCTTTCTAAAAGAAACACCGAAGGTGCAGAAGTTTGGGCTGTAAAGAGGAGCTGTGTGCTTAGCTCACAGTTTTTGTAGTATTTGTCAGGATGTTAAACTGCATTTTTGCCTGTCCAGGACCAATTTGCAGCCAGCAAACATGAATAAATGAGCATGCAAATCAATATGCATGCTGCCTTTCTGGCGGGTTTTCTCCTTGGGAAGTATTTTCTCTTGTTTGAAAGAACTTGGAGATGATATTGTTTGTTTCTGTACTTTCCGCCAGGTCCAAGGTTGGCATCGGAAAGCCACCTCCTGTGGCTTCTTGTTAGTCCCAGTTTTGGAGGGGCCTTTTGCACTGCCCAGTTACCTGTATGGCGACCCCCTTCGTGCCCAGCTCTTCATCCCACTCAACATCAGCTGCTTGCTCAAGGAGGGCAGCGAGCACCTGTTTGATAGTAAGAAATATTCCCTTCTGGAGGTTGTCTCAACCAGTAAGACCCCGTCCCTAACAAGGACACCACTCTGGGTATCCAGTCAACACGGACTAGGGAAAAGGGACAGCCTTTCAACAAGGGGCCAAAAGGATCAAGGTTCTAAAGGATCCTGATTCTTGACTTAGTGGCTGGATAACTCTGGACAAATCATTTCATGTCTCTGAGTCTCGAATTCCTTATTCCTAAAATGAGAGTGTCTAGAGCTGCCTGGAGCAAAGTGGTGGGTGGGAGAGGGCGCTAAACTCTATAAATCACAGGCAGCACTGGTGTTCTCCCACGCTCTCCTTTCATATGCTCCAGCCTAACTGGTTTGGGCTGCAGGGATTTAAACCTCACGGGAGACTTGCATATGCTATTTCGTGCAAAAAGGCCAGGAAAGGGAGGGCATGAAAAGCAAAACAGGAAACAGCATCCTTTTGTGCAAAGCTGTGGCATGTCAGCCTCTGGAATGGTGCGTGTGACTCGAGTCATGCATCTCAGGGAAGACAAAGCAGGATCAGAGGATGATAGCAGGAACCAAATCAGAGCCTTTCCCTCTGGGAAAGGTTTTCAATCAGAAAGAGAGTACCCAGGGTCAGCCTGGACCTGCTGCTCTACCCCAGAGCCCAGAACCCAGAGGGCAGGTTTAGGACAGATCAAAGACGAGCTGAGCTGTACTTGACACAGCATATAGCTTTTTATTACCAAGTGCTCGTTGTGGATGCACATATAAATAGCTCCTACAAAGCTTTTGATGAGTTCACAGATGATCTTTTTTAAAACGCAAAGCTAGGGTTGATGCTGATACGTCAGGAGCCCTGAGGTTTCTCAGGTATAAAGATTAGAACTGTGAAGGAAACAACATTTGACGTAAGAGAGATGCTTTCTTCTTGTCCCCTTGTAAGTCTGTGTCGTGATCAGCGGCAGAGAACCAGCCCAAAAGATAAGGAGATCTCCCCAGGTGGATTAGGCCAAGCAAAGTATTCCTGCAATTTCCATGTGACAGGCTGCCCTCATGGTGCAAACAGCTTTTCTTCCAAAAGCCCATCCGTGTATTTTTTGTTTGCAGTTTGGAAGATTTTTTTTATAGACACAATGTTCTAAGTGATAATCGGGGTCCCAAGCAAGCCCCACAGAGGCCCTACCTGCTGGGGGCTATAGACTGTGGGACACACAGAGCTTACAAAGCCCCCTTGAAACACACATGTTCTTGTTTAACCTCACAGTGATGTGGCTGAGAGAGGACCATTTATGCAGTCCTGAAATGCCAGATGATTGTGTTCATATGGGGCAGTTTTAAGCCAAGCAGCTCCTGGTACTATTGTTTTTATTATGTTGAAGGAACAGAGAGATCTTCCCCCGAAACTGTCCAAAGACTCTTTGGGGGTTTTTCACCTTTGCTATAACAGCACAGGATTGCCCACAGGGCTGGCGTTGGAGGACATTTTTGTGCAAGTTGTTTTTCCCTGCCAGTTGTAACTCAGTCTTCAAGACCAGCAGCCTCTGTTGGTTGCCATGGTTACAGCTGCAGAAAGGGTCCCAGTTTAAAGCAATAAGGATTTGAATCTAAAAATCAATTTTCTTGCTTCTGTGCCTCTTCTCTTTTTGTTCTTGCCATTTCCTATAGCAGCAAATTCAAAATCTTAAAAATCTGACAAGAGTGTGCTGTGTGTGTGGATTTTCTCTGTTTAAAGCCAAAGTCTTTTTTGCTTTTTGCCCTTTTTTTTTTCTTTTTGTGACGTAGTCTCGCTCTGTCACCCAGGCTGGAGTGCAGTGGCGTGATGTCCTCTCACTGCAACCTCCGCCTCCTGGGTTCAAGTGATTCTCCTGCCTCAGCCTCCTGAGTAGCTGGGATTACAGGCACACGCCATTCATGCCCAGGTAATTTTTTTTGTATTTTTGTAGAGATGGGATTTCACCACGTTGGCCAGGAAGGTCTTGAATTCCTGACCTCAGGTGATCTGCCCGCCTCGGCTTCCCAAAGTTCTGGGATTACAGGCATGAGCCACTGTGCCTGGCTTTTTGCTCTTTAGTTGCCCTAAATCCTCAAATCCATCCCAGGTAGAAAATTCCAAATGTGGAAAGATTAGCAAAACCACCGCAGGCACTCTTGTCTTTGGGATGGCTGTGCAATTACCACCCCAGGCCTCAGCACCTCCTCCCTGAGAGCAGCCCGGACTCTGTCCTCTGGTGCTGTGCGACAGCCTTCCCCAGCCCTCCACAGCCCTCCACCCTTCCCCCTCCACTCTTGGTTCTCAGCAACAGCCTTGCAGAAGGCATGAGGCTGGAGTAACAAAGTGGGTTATGGAGGAGCGGACTTATCTTTTCTGCTCTCCTCCCCAGCTGATTACTCTTCAAACTTTTATTTTATTTTACTTTATTTTAGTTTTTTTGAGATGGAGTCTTGCTCTGTCGCCCAGGCTGGAGTGCAGTGGCGCAATCTCAGCTCACTGCAACCTCCGCCTCCTGGGTTCAAGTGAGTCTCCTGCCACAGCCTCCCGATTACCTGGGATTACAGGCATGTGGAACCACGCCCAGCTAATTTTTGTACTTTTAGTAGAGACGGGGTTTCACCATGTTGGCCAGGCTGGTCTCAAACTCCTGACCTCAGGTGATCCACCCACCTCAGCCTCCCAAAGTGCTGGGATTACAGGTGTGAGCCGCCGCACCTGGCCCAAATTTTTATTTTTATATTTATTTGCTTCAATTTTCCTACCTCTAGAATGGAGCTTATAATATTTGCCCTTTCTTGTGGGAAGATTGGTAATACAAAAAAGTGGGGGTGGGCCGAGTGTAGTGCCTCACGCCTATAATCCCAGCACTTTGGGAGGCCGAGGCAGGCAGATCACCTGAGGTCAGCAGTTCAAGACCAGCCTGGCCAACATGTTGAAACTCCATCTTTACTAAAAACACAAAAATTAGCTGGGCGCTGTGGCACATGCCTGTAACCCCAGCTACTCGGGAGGCTGAGGCAGGAGAATCACTTGAGCCTGGGAGGCAGAGGTTGTGGTGAGCCGAGATCGTGCCATTGCACTCCAGCCTGGGCAACAAGAGCAAAACTTCCTCTCAAAAAGAAAAAAAAAAGTGGGGGTAGTAGTTGTTCCTTAGAAGCAGCTTACATGGTCCAGGCACAGTGGCTCATGCCTGTAATCCCAGCACTTTGAGAGGCAGAGGTGGGAGGATCACTTGAGGCCAGGAGTTTGAGACCAGCTTGGACAACATAGTGAGATGCCATCTCTACAAAAAGATTTAAAAATTAAAAATTTTTAAAAATGTAGAAATTAGTTGGGGCCGGGCACAGTGGCTCACGCCTGTAATCCCAGCACTTTGGGAGGCCGACGCAGGCGGATCACTTGAGGTCAGGAGTTCAAGACCAGACTGGCCAACATGGTAAAACCCCGTCTCTACTTAAAATACAAAAGTTAGCCGGGTGTGGTGGCATGTGCCTCTAATCCCAGCTACTCGGGAGGCTGAGGCATGAGAATCACTTGAACCCGGCAGGCCGAGGTTGCAGTGAGCCAAGATCGCACCACTGCATTCCAGCCTGGGTGACCAAGCAAGACTCTCCCTCAAAAAAAAAAAAAAAAAAATTAGTTGGCCATAGTGGTGCATGTCTGTGGTCCTAGCTACTTGGGAGATTAAGGTAGGAGGATCACTTGAGCTCGGGAATTCAAGGCTTCAGTGAGCTATGACCATGGCAACTAACATGCATTTACAGTTTATCTTCTGTTTGTACTTTAATATCATGCTCCTTTCAGCTTTGGGTATAAGAAGTCATTCGAATGAGCCTTATATTGAGTTCTGGTAGCTCACACTGACTGCTGAGGACTTCACCTTCCTAGACCCAGCTATAGCTTGCTTGGGGGAAGGGATGGTGTGAACACACAGCTGTCCTTTCTTTGACCCTTGGGATGGAGGCCAGTCTTTCTCAAAGGGCGTAGTATGGAGAAGCAGAGGTTAGGCTCAAGGGGACTGATTGCCAAGAGTAGTAAAGGGTACAGAAGACTGGCCCAGAGAGAATTACAAACCTTGTGATCACAACCCAATATTTATTCTTATTTTCCTTTCAGGCTTTGAACCCGAAACGTACTGGGATCGAATGCACCTCTTCCAGGAAGCCATTGCACACAGGTTTGTCCCTTAGCAAGTGTGAAGAGTGGGAAGGAAATCAGTGTTTATCTTGAATAGCAGTTACCAAAGTGAAACTCATTTTTTTAGCTCCTAGAGAAAGGGATGTATTCCACCAATGGCAAATTCACTGCTTATCTCCAACAGGACTCTTTACATTGGTTTTTGAGATAAGCGCTGCCTCCCTGTTTCCTGTAACTATTGTTTTTCAGACCTCATTATTTTCTTCTTCCAGTTGAGTGGAGAACATAGAACTCTCTCCTTAGCCTCCAACAAGACCCTAGGCCAAGCTATTCAGGAAATAATATAAAATGAAAAATTAAAAAATGTGTCAAGAGCCCAACACAGGTTGAAAAGACAATGAATGGTTAAAAAGCAATAGATGAGTCAGTAGATATTTCTTGGCACCTAATATGTGTGCCAGGGAAAGCCTGTCCTAGACTTCACTGTCTCCCACTAGACTAGTCCAGCCGACTGTGTTGTCTCCAAACATCACCAGCCTGGTATCTGATGGCCACTTCATGTTAGTCATGGTAAAAACAAAGCCCCTTGTTCTTGCTTTGGTAATCCTCTCATTACACCTTCTCCAGTATCCTGTCATCTCCTTATTATATATATATATATATATATATATATACTTATATATACTCATACAACCACAGGACTATTTAGCCTCTCACACCCACGATGGCCCCAGCTTACCTTAGACCTTCGTCTAAGGTCTACCCCTTCACAGACCTAGCTCAGGTGCTTAGCAAAGACTGTGGAATGAAGGCAAGGGTGGCTGATTTCCTCCTTCCACTAACAGTGGGTGGTGCAGATTCAGGGCAGAAGGTAGAGAGTGCAGCAGTCAATGGGAAAGGGCCTTGATGTACGAAGTAGACAGGCCTTATCCACTCCCACCTCCACCAGCATCTGGCTGAGGAACCATGAGCAATTCTGGAACTGGTGAGCCTCCATTTTCTTACCCCTCACGGGGAAGCTGGGAGGGTTCTCTGATGTTCTGGAGAGCCCGGTGATGCACCTAGTGAGCCCTCAGTAGACAGCAGTCACCAGGGGGGACCCTGCTAACTCACGAGTTTCTAAGTAGCTCTTACCCTGCTTGCCCTGCTGGCAGGATGTCACTCAGAACGTGGCCTTTATTTGTTAAATCTGCTTTTTTCCTTCACTGCATCCTCCTCCTGATCCCCCTCAGTCCAGATCCTGGTCTATCTTCCCAGGAACTATTGTACTTTCCTCCTCAGCCAGCTTTTTCTACCACAGATACCCTCACCTGTTTTCTGACCAGTCCTCTGCATCATTGTACCAGTGTGCTGCAGTGTGCTCCTTACCTAAACCCCCAACCTTCCACACCTAAACCCCCACCTTCTGTACCTCTACGTTCCACACCTAACCCCCCTCCACCTTCCACACCTAACCCCCCTCCACCTTCCACACCTAACCCCCCTCCACCTTCCACACCTAAACCCCCCTACGTTCCACACCTAAACCCCCCCACCTTCCACACGTAAACCCCCTCCACCTTCCACACGTAAACCCCCGCCTTCCACACCTATTCCCCCCACCTTCCACACCTAAACCCCCCCACCTTCCACACCTAAATCCCCCTACCTTCCACACCTAACCCCCCCAACTTTCCACACCTAAACCCCCCACCTTCCACACCTAAACCCCCTCACCTTCCACACCTAAACTCCCCCACCTTCCTCACCTAAACCCTTCCACCTTCCACACCTACCCTCCCCCCATCTTCCACACCTACCCTCCCCCCACCTTCCACACCTAAACCCCCCCTTATACACGTAAACTCCCTCACCTTCCACACCTAAACCCCCCACCTTCCACACCTAAAGCCCCCCACCTTCCACAACTAAACCCCTCCACCTTCCACACCTAAGCCCCCCCACCTTCCACACCTAACCTCTCCCACCTTTCACACTTAAACCTCTCCCCTGTTCCACACCTGTCAGAATCTTCCTCCAGGGATTCCCAAATGTTTCCTCTCTGAATTCCTCTTTCCCTTTCTTTCAAAACACTCTGAATGTATTCCAGTGACTTGGGGGCCCTTGGAGGGCAGGGGTATGCTTTTTCCTATTTGTGTTTCCTTCTATAATGCCTAGCAAGGTGCCTGCCTAGAGTAGTTTCATATGTAGCTTTTGCATAGGGTGGAGCTTTAAGTGCAACTGTGGCTCTAAATGACACATCAGCCCACCCATAAGGTCCATCTCAGAAAGAGCTAAAAAAGTGTCCATCTTCCTCAGCCCCTAGGCTGTGACCTACAGCTCCTCCTTCATCTTCCTCAGCCCCTAGGCTGTGACCTACAGCTCCTCCTTCATCTTCCTCAGCCCCTAGGCTGTGACCTACCGCTCCTCCTTCATCTTCCTCAGCCCCTAGGCTGTGACCTACAGCTCCTCCTTCATCTTCCTTGGGGCAGGTGGAGATGATTATATCCCCTCCCCTGCCCTTACTGCGTTTCTGTCTTGCATTCTCCCTGAGTGGACAGTCAGGTGGCCAGGAACCATGTGGTTAAATTGCCTTTTTGTTCTTTCCTGGTGACCTAAGGAAGAAATGAGGTAAAAAAAAATTACTCTGGTAAAAAAAAATCAGGCTGATCCATGCTGAGGAAATCAGTAGCCTTAATTAGAAAGTAGAGAGAAAGCAGGCTGGGTGTGGTGGCTCACGCCTGTAATCCCAGCAGTTTGGGAGGCCGAAGCAGGCGGATCACCTGAGGTCAGCAGTTCAAGACCAGCCTGGCCAAAATGGTGAAACCCCGTCTCTACTAAAAATACAAAAATTAACTGGTCATGGTGGCGCGTGCCTGTAATCCTAGCTACTTGGGAGGCTGGAAGCACAAGAATTGCTTGAACCCGGGAGGTGGAGGTTGCGGTGAGCCAAGATTGTACCACTGCAGTCCAGCCTGGATGACAGAGCAAGAGTAGAGAGGATTTTGCAAAGGCAAAATCCAGAGCCAATCCTCATCATATAATCAGCCTGTAGACAGGGAGCTTACAGTGCATAGTAGCCTACCCATTTAGTTTGCATATTTGACTTCATGTATTCTTTGGTAAAAAATTATGGAATGCAGATTATGTAGAGGATACAACACAGCACCTCCCCAAGGAACTCAGTCCAGGAAAGAAGACAGGCATTTTCCCTTCTTTAGTTCTGCCTACATCACTGTCTCCATTATATAAACCCCTCAGACTTAGAGGGCAGGAGCCACATCTGTTACCACGTCCTTTACAGCTCTTAGCAGGTAGAACTGTAATAAATGTGCCTTATGGAAATAGAAAAACCAGGAATAGAACAAGCCATAGATGAAAAATGGCTCCTCCTGCCCATTTCCAGAGCACAGGGAAGCAGAGAGCCCCAGCTTGGCGTTCCTCTTTTTTTTTCTTTTTGAGATGGAGTCTCGCCCTGTCACCCAGGCTGGAGTGCAATGGCATGATCTTAGCTCACTGCAGCCTCCGCCTCCCGGATTCAAGTGATTCTCCTGGCTAATTCCAGAACAATCCTGGCTAATACAAAAATTAGCCAGGCATGGTGGCACATGCCTGTAATCCCAGCTACTCAGGAGACTGAGGCGGAGAATCACTTGAACCCAGGAGGCAGAGGTTGCAGTGAGCCGAGATCATGCCATTGCACTCCAGTCTGGGCAACAGTGCGAGATTCCCTCTCACCAAAAAAAAAGATAAGGACCTTCCCTGGAGGAATGGATAGCCTCGAGTATGCGGGTGGGTATGTGTGGCCTGTCAAGACATGAGGTAGATTCCAGTGAGAGGCCCAGGATGGGATGGGGGAGAACGCTCAGTGGGAAGGTCTGCTGGGATGGGTAGGGAACATGGTAGGAGGGACGGGCTGTCTGAGCAGAGATGAAGGCTGGATGAAGAGTGCAGCCGGTGGGAAGGCTTTCTTTCACTATGGTGGTAGTGACATGGTGGACCACGGAGATGACGGGCTGCTGGGTGTGAGGAGGTCTGGTAAGCCATGGTGTTGGAAGAGGTAGAGGTCAGAAAGTGGTGAGGGTGAGGACAAAAATAAGCAGCCTGCATGTGCAATCTGGAAAGAGATCTTTCCAGATCTCTGTGTCTCAGGCTGTCCGAGAGTCCTATCAGCTACATTCTCTTCCCTTGCCCCTTTAACTAAGGAGGCGCTGATTAGCATGTCTTCCTGTCCTTCCCTAGGTTTGGGTTTGTACAAGATAAATATTCTGCCTCTGCTTTTAACTTCCCTGCTGAGAACAAGCCTCAGTATATCCACGTTACAGGTGAGGAGCTACGGGCAGAGTTGGGCAGGTGGGTCCACATCCCTTTCCTTGCACCAAGCCTATGGCTGCAGAACCACCTCAGCAGGCTCCAGGAGCCCTCCTGGTGGCTGCCACACAGGCGCTCCCCTTTCTCTTCAGGAACAGTGTTTCTGCAGCTGCCCTACTCCAAGCGCAAGTTCTCAGGGCAGCAGCGGCGGCGGCGGAACTCCACCAGCTCCACCAACCAGAACATGTTCTGCGAGGAGCGGGTCGGCTACAACTGGGCCTACAACACCATGCTCACCAAAACATGGCGCTCCAGCGCCACAGGGGATGAAAAGTTTGCTGATCGGCTGCTGAAGGACTTCACGGACTTCTGCATCAACCGTGACAACCGGCTGGTCACGTTCTGGACAAGTTGCCTGGAGAAGATGCATGCCAGTGCCCCGTGAGGCCAGGCTGCACCTGTGCTGGGGGAAGGTGGGTGAGCCACTGCCCTCAAACCCGGGGCGGAGGATTCCAGGCAGGCTCTAGGAGTCAGGTGTCCGTTTGCTGCTATCAGTGAGTGGGGGCCATTGTTTTTTGTTTGTTTGTTTGTTTGTTTGTTTGTTTTTGGCCCCCACGACAAGTCTTCTACTCTAGAAGAAAGACTTTGGAAGCAGCTGCTGCTGCTGCCACCACTCCTGTCAGCAAGTGCTCAGAGCAGGTGGGAGGCACAGATTGTCCGTGGGAGGGCTCCAGTGTCTGGGAAGAGGGCAGGCGGCCCCCATGAATGTCCTCGGAAGGGGGTGGCTCCTGGTAGCATCCTTTTCCTTCACCATCTATGGGATATTAGGGGCAGAATCTGCCACTTCTTGCCCAGGAGTGTGCACAGATGTAAGATAATTTTGTGAAATAATGTACCATAGACTCTCACCAACTGTATATACCTGTACATATCAGAAGCAAATAAAGAGCTCCACGTGCATCATTTCTTTCCCCACCCAGTTCCCCACAGAAGCAGTCCCATCCTGGGCTGGGCAGTTGTGCCAGGTGGCCGGGGTCATGGCAGTCAATGAAGTGGTCACAGATGGTGAGAGGGCTTCAGAATTCACTGGCTTAGAGTCTGGCTGGGAGTTTATTGAGAGATTTCTTTCATAGGCCACTGGGCAGGAGCAAGGATGGTTCCAGTGAGGACAGTGAGCAGGCAGTATAACTTACAAGGTAACTGCAGGCTCATGCTGTCAGAATGAATCTTGCTAAATGGGTGAGCTCAGCTCTGGGACGCAGATATGATGGCATTCTGAAAAAAATCAAAGGAAACATTTTGTAGACTCTAACTTAGGTTTTTTTTGTTGTTGTTTTTTTTGTTGTTTTTTTTGACACAGTTTTCACTCTTGTTGCCCAGGCTGGAGTGCAATGGTGTGATCTCAGCTCACTACAACCTCTGCCTCCTGGGTTCAAGCGATTCTCCTGTCTCGGCCTCCCGAGTAGCTGGGATTACAGGCACCTGCCACCATACCAGGCTAATTTTTTGTATTTTAAGTAGAGATGGGGTTTCACCATGTTGGCCAGGCTGGTCTTGAACTCCTCACCTCAGGCGATCCACCCACCTCAGCCTCCCAAAGTGCTGGGATTACAGGTGTGAGCCACCATGCCCGGCCTAACTTAGATTTGCTGAGATAAGACTCAGCTTGGTGCTTCACCTCAGCACCCTGCCTTAAGCTACTCAGGGCAGTTCAGGAGCTGTGGGTCAGAGGGGAGAATCCGACAGTGACTGCCACTTCTTGCTGTGCCATCTCACCACGTGGAGTTCATCACAAGCTCTGTTGATTTGCCTCCTCAATGGCTTTGCATCCATTCTCTTCTTCCCAGGCCCTGAGCTGCCACTCAGTCCAGCCTTCCTTTGTCTTTCTCTTAGATCCCCAGGAAAACCTTCTAATTTGTCTCTGCTTTCACTCCACTTGTCAGTCAGTCTTTTTATAAAACCACTGTGATTTTGCCCACCACTTAACTAGAACTTTTTGGTGACTTGAACTTCAAAAATCTTAGATGCAGCCCACATGGTCCTGCACAGTCTGGTCTGGTGGGCTGTTTGTACAGCCACCCTGGCCATCACACAGTCCCTGGAACATCACAAACTCTGCACCAGCTCAGACGCTTTGCACTTGCTGTTCCCTCTGTTCCATCTGCCTGGAACATGCCTCCCTCCATGCCCGCTCTGTCTCACTAACTCCTGGTGGTCAGCCATCAGCTCTTAGCTCAACTGTCACTTCTCCAGAGAAGCAGAGTTGGCCCTGTTACATCCTCCCACAGCACTTTGTACTTCTCCAGCATGGTACTCAACATGTTTACACTCTACCATGGCAGAAGCTTCTTTTTTTTTCTTTCTTTCTTTTTTTTTTTTTTTTTTTTTTGAGACATAGTCCGGCTCTGTCACCCAGGCTGGAATACAGTGGTGCGATCTCAGCTCACTGCAAGCTCCGCCTCCAGGTTCATGCCATTCTCCTGCCTCAGCCTCCCGAGTAGCTGGGACTATAGGCGCCCGCCACCATGCCCGGCTAATTTTTTGTATTTTTAGTAGAGACGGGGTTTCACCGTGTTAGCCAGGATGGTCTCGATCTCTTGACCTTGTGATCCACCCGCCTCGGCCTTCCAAAGTGCTGGGATTACAGGCGTGAGCCACCGTGCCCAGCCAAAGCTTCTCTATTTTGTTCATCTTTTTGTTCCCAAGTGTACATGATAATAGTAGATGTTGGAGAAATGGTTGTTGACTGAATGTATAGTAACTGAATGAACTTTGGATTCCAGGGCTGGGAACTGGATATTTTTTTTTTTTTTTTTTTAGAGACGGAGTCTTCCTCTGTCACCCAGGCTGGAGTGCAGTGGCTCACTGCAGCCTTCGCCTCCGGTTCAAGGTTCAAGCGATTCTCCTGCCTCAGCCTCCTGAGTAACTGGGACTACAGGCGCACATCACCACGCCTGGTTAATTTTTGTATTTTTAGTAGAGATGGGGTTTCACCGTGTTGGCCAGGATGGTCTCGATCCACTGACCTCATGATCCACCCTCCTCGGCCTCCCAAAGTGCTGGGATTACAGGCGTGAGCCACCGCGCCTGGCCTGGGCACTGGATTTTACATCTGAGTCTCCACCTTCCTAGCTAGGCTCCTTAGTTACTTCACAGAACTTGAACTTATTTAGAACTTAAAACGTGGCTATGGATGCTGCATGTAATGATTTTGAGAGAATAGGTTTGTTAATATATGTGAAAGAGCCCTGGATAATTCCTGGAAATGGAGCAGGCCTTTGATAAAAACCTGTTTTCTTTTCCTTTTTCACCTTCCCTTTTCTAAGATATGTAAATCCCCTCATCTATGAAATGGGAAGCTATCTCCTTGGGTGGTTGGAGAATCAGAAGACACATGTAGCTGGGCACGGTCGGCCCACACCTGTAATCCCAACACTTTGGGAGACTGAGATGGGAGGATCACTTGAGCCCAGGAATTTGAGATCAGCCTGAGCAACATAGGAAGACCCCGTCGCTACAAAAAAAATGAATAAATAAAATAAAATAAATAAAAAATTAGCTTGGGGCCGGGTGCAGTGACTCATGCCTGTAATCCTAACACTTTGTGAGGCCGAGGTGGTCGGATCATGTGAGGTCAGGAATTTGATACTATCCTGGCCAACATGATGAAACCCCATCTCTATGAAAAATACAAAAATTAGCCAGGCGTGGTGGTGTGCACCTATAATCCCAGCTACTTGGGAGGCTGAGGCAGGAGAACCATTTGAACCCGGGAGATGGAGGTTGCAGTGAACCGAGATTGTGCTACTGCACTCCAGCCTGGGCGACAGAGCAAGACTCCGTCTAAGAAAAAACAAAAGTTAGCTGGACATGGTGGCTCACACCTGTCATCCCAGCTACGTGAGAGGCTGAGGTGGGAAGGTCGCTTGAACTCAGGAGGTCTGCAATGAGCTGTGATTGCACCACTGCACTCCAGCCTGGGTGACAGAGCAAGACCTTATCTCAAAAAAAAAAGGCCACGTATATGAAAGGTCTTACAAAAAGACAGTAAGCAAATGTCTGCTCTCAAACAGCTGAACAGCTGCTCTCACATTCCTGGATGGGAGTCTCCATTGTGCTCTCAAGCCATTGAGTGATGGTGCTGGACACAGCAAACGCTGGCCTGTTCAGATCACATACGAACTGAACAATCACTTGTGATCCTCAGTGTCCTGTGTGTGAGGCCAAAACTGCCCCTGCAATTGCCCAGCAGAAGGCCCACAGAATGATTTGGTGGAAGAAGGGGCGGCTGGTGCGTTAGGATGCTGGGTCACTCCCCCATCAGAGCGGGACCTCAAACTTTCCTGCCCATGAGCCCCAGTCTCCTTGCTGCCTACTTTCCTGATTCCTCCTCTCTCTGGTGGGCATCTCCTTCCACCCACTTGTCCAAGCCAGAATCTGGTAGTCAAACCCAGTGCCTTCCTCCTCCATCATCCTCCAGTCCTCCCATCCATTCATCCTGTCTCTTAGACTCATCCACCTTTTTGTAGGTACAAAGCTCAGCCCACAGGGAATCTGTGGGTTTGGTCAGACATGGAGGACATGTGCATGCCGATCAGAAGCCTATCACCAGATTATACAGGCCAGGTGCGGTGGCTCACGACTGTAATCCCAGCACTTTGGAAGGCCAAGATCATCTGAAGTCAGGAGTTTGAGACCAGCCTGGCGAACATGGTGAAACCCCATCTCTACTAAAAATACAAAAGTTAGGGCCGGCCACGGTGGCTTACGCCTGTAATTCCAGCACTTTGGGAGGCCAAGGTGGGTGGATCACCTGAGGTCAGGAGTTCGAGACCAGCCTAGCCAACATGGTAAAACCCTGTCTCTACTAAAAATACAAAAGTTAGGGCTGGGCGCAGTGGCTCACACCTGTAATTCCAACACTTTGGGAGGCCAGGGCGGGTGGATCAAGAGGTCAAGAGATCGAGACCATCCTGGCCGACATGGTGAAACCCCATCTCTACTAAAAATACAAAAATTAGCTGGGCGTGGTGGTGCGTGCCTGTAGTCCCAGCTACTCGGGCGGCTGAGGCAGGAGAATTGCTTGAACTCGGGAGGCAGAGGTTGCAGTGAGCTGAGATCACACCACTGCACTCCAGCCTGGGCGATGGAACAAGACTCTGTCTCAAAAAAAAAAAAAAAATTCAAAAACTAGCCAGGCATGGTGGCGGGCGCCTGTAATCTGAGCTACTCAGGAGGCTGAGGCGGGAGAATCACTTGAACCTGGGAGGCAGAGGTTGCAGTGAGCCGAGATCGCATCACTGCACTCCAGCCTGGGCGACAGGGAGACCCTGTCTCAAAAAAAAAAAAGGAAGGGATACATGATGTATGCCAGAGACACTGCGCAAATCTGTGAGGCCTTGCTGAAGCAGATAGCGAATACTGGGAGGGAATGCTGAATAGAAGCCATTTTACAGGCCTCTTCAGTTACCCAGAAAAGTTCAGAAAAACACAGAATAACAATGGTCACTCCATTGAGTGCTTCCTGTGTCCTGGGCAATGTGTCATACACCTTTTCATTGCATGATCTTTGTTGTTGTTGTTGAGACGAGATCTTGCTCTGTTGCCCAGGCTGGAATGCAGTGGCAGAATCTTGGTTCACTGCAACCTCTGCCTCCCAAGTTCAAGCAATTCTCCTGCCTCAGCCTCCCCAGTAGCTGGGACTACAAGGGCATGCCACCACATCCAGCTAATTTTTGTAATTTTAGTAGAGACAGGGTTTCACCATATTGGTCAGTCTGATCTCGGACTTCTGACCTCAAATGATCCACCCACCTCGGCCTCTCAAAGTGCTGGGATTGCAGGCATGGGACACTGCACCTGACTCATTGTATAATCTTATCAACATACCAGCTGAGGGGTGGAAGGCCCCAGGAAGTAGGGTCCACGCCCATACGCTAACAAACAGCTGGACTGGGAATCAGGTTCATGGGAATCAGCCCAGTCACCACCAACTGTGCTGCCCTCTTCACCTTTTTGTGGTGCTGTATCAATGAGATGCCACCCACTGCTCCATCCTGGGTTCCTGCCTGGGGACCCCTTCGTTCCTTTCAACTGACTGCCTTACGTGTATGGTGAATCTCTGCATGGGTACAGATGCAGTGTAACATGTAGACATGGCCTCATATACAGGTTCTCTGGTAGGGAATGGGCAGTGACTCAGTGACTTTGAGGCAGGACCAGTGGCCTTTCCTCCCTGCCAGGCTTCTATCTGGAAGGCACTGTGTGTGCCCTCTCTTCTGGTCTGCAGCTGTGGCTTCAGCCTGCAAGTGCTTCAGGCAGCTCCTGGCCTTCAGACTGTGCCACACACTTGCCCTAAACCTGGCCTGAAATGCCTGGGATGTAGCATTTGCATGTAGCAAAAGCTGGTGCCGAGTACTGAGTCCTACCAGCCTTCAGATTTGACCTCCATCTGCTTCTCTGGCTGCAGCAAGATTCCTGTTTCCTCAGTGAATCAGCACATAGTCCTTCCAACAAGAAAATCTCTTTTCCCATGGGGATGAGGGGAGATGGGGAATTGCTATGCAATCTCTGGAAAAGTCTTTTCTCCCTGAGCCCCAGAATTTTCATCTGAACTCATCTGGGAGAAACATTGGGGACCATAAGATTATATATAGACTTTTTCCTTTCTCAACCAACAGGATGGATGAGTGCTGAGGGGGGAATTCCAGTCTGTTTCAGTCCCACAGTTGCCACTGGAACGCAATTTCTTGCCTCTTCTCTGTGCTCTTTTTTTTTTTTCTCTCAGAGATACAGGGTCTCCCTCTGTTGTTCAGGCTGGAGTGCAGTGGCACTATCACAGCTCACTGCCACCCTGAACTCAGTCTCAAGCAATCCTCTCAGCTCAGCCCCCCTGAGTAGCTGGGACTACAGGCGTGCACCACCACGCCCAGCTAATTAAAAAAAAAAAAAAAAAAAAAAAAAAAAGGCCTGGCGCAGTGGCTCACGCCTGTAATCCCAGCACTTTGGGAGGCCGAGGTGAGTGGATCATGAGGTCAAGAGATCGAGACCATCCTGGCCAACATGGTGAAACCCCGTCTCTACTAAAAATACAAAAATTAGCCTGGCATGGTGGCAGGCACCTGTAATCCCAGCTATTTGGGAGGCTGCGACAGGAGAATCACTTGAACCAGGGAGGCGGAGGTTGCAGTGAGCCGAGATCATGCCATTGCACTCCAGCCTGGGCGAAAAGAGCGAAACTCCGTCTAAAAAAAAAATATTATAGAGACGGGATTCTTGCTATGTTGCCCAAGTAGTCTCAAAATTCTGGCCTCAAGAGATCCTCCTGCCGATCGAGACCATCCTGGCTAACACGATGAAAAGCCGTCTCTACTAAAAATACAAAAAAAATTAGCCAGGCATGCTCGTGGGCACCTGTAGTCCCAGCTACTCTGGAGGCAGAGGCAGGAGAATGGCGTGAACCCAGGAGGCAGAGCTTGCAGTGAGTCAAGATCACACCACTGCACTCCAGCCTGGGCAACAGAGCAAGACTCCGTCTCAAAAAAAAAAAAAAAGAGATCCTCCTGCCTCAGCGTCCCAAAGCACTGGGATTACAGGCCTGAGCCACCATGCCTGGCTGTCTCTCTGCTCTATGCTTTTTTTTTTTTTTTTTTTTTTTGAGACAGGGTCTCACTCTGTCACCCAGGCTGGAGCACAGTGGCACAACCTTGGCTGACTGCAACCTGCACCTCCCGGGTTCAAGCGATTCTTGTGCCTCAGCCTCCTGAGTACCTGGAGCCACCATGCCTGGCTAATTTTTGGTTTTTTTTTTTTTGTGGAGACAGAATTTTGCCATGTTAGCCAGGCTGTTCTTGAACTCCTGGCCTCAAGTGATCCTCCCACCTCAGCCTCTCAAACTGCTGGGATTACAGGTGTGAGCCACTGTGCCCAGCCTCTAGTGAGTACTTCTAAAAAACCTACAATGCTCAGGATAGACCTTACAGCAAAGAATTATCCAGCCTCCAATGTCAATCGTGTCAGCTTCAGACACCATGAACTAGACTGTGGTCAGGTAAGAGGCTTAGACGGGGGGACTCCCTCCCTCCTGTGACTTTGGAAGAAGAGGCACCTGTCACTTGCCCCTTCCTGTGATCTGAATCCAATGGCAGCCCCATCGTCAATCTATAGGAATTACTCTTGCTGGGTTCCAAGGCCAGAGTGGCTAAGAAGCCTGCTTAGAGGCTTCCAGCAAGTTACGGGCAGCACCAGATTAGAATGCTGGCCATATTGAGTGCTCACTTGCTGGGACATGGCTTCTGTGTTTCCTTCCACTTTCCTTGTTCACGTACCTTGCCTCTCCCATCGAATGTAAGCTCTTTGGAGGCAGAGAACACATCTTGCTCATCCTTGTATCCTCCACAGCAAGCACCCATCACACATTTGGTGCTTATTTAGAATTTATTGAATTCATTCATTCAGCCAACATTTATGCAAGGTTGAACCAACGTGGGCCTTGCCCTCCTCGTGGAGGGAAGCAGACATGCAAAGCAGCCACCATAGCCCTCTAGAAGAGGTCTCAGATTGGCTATCTGTAATGCAGTACAGAAACTGGCCGGGCGCTGGCCGAGCGCAGTGGCTCACACCTGTAATCTCAGCACTTTGGGAGCCCGAGGCGGGCGGATCACGAGGTCAGGAGATAAGATCTTCCTGGCTAACACTGTAAAACCCCGTCTCTACTAAAACTACAAATAAATTAGGCATGGTGGTGGGTGCCTGTAGTCCCAGCTTCTCAGGAGGCTGAGGCAGGAGAATGGCATGAACCCGGGAGGCGGAGCTTGCAGTGGGCCGAGATTGTGCCACTGCACTCCAGCCTGGGTGACGGAGCAATACTCCATCTCAAAAAAAAAAAAAAAAAAAAAGAAAAAGAAAAAGAAAGAAAGAAATTGGCCAGGTGCAGTGGCTCACGCCTGTAATCCCAGCACTTTTGGAGGCTGAGGCAGGTGGATCACTTGAGGTCAGGAGTTCGAGACCACCCTGGCCAACATGGTGAAACCCCATCTCTATCTACTAAAAATACAAAAAAAAAAAAAAAATTAGCCAAGCATAGTGGTGGGTGCCTGTAATCCCAGCTACTCGGGAGGCTGAGGCAGGAGAATCACTTGAACTCGGGAGGGGGAGTTTGCAGTGAGCCAAGATCGTACCTCCGCACTCCAGCCTGGGTGACAGAGCGAGACTTGGTCTCAAGAAAAAAAGAAATAGAGGAGGGGGCTTCAGTCTGTGTAGGGGAGCTGGGGAAGACTGGAGAAAGGGGCATTTGGGCTGGGACTTGACAGCTACATAAGAGTTCTAGCAGGTGAGGAGGATGGGGTGGGGAAGGGGATGCTGGAGGGCTGGGGGGTTTTGGCAACAGAACAGTCAGGAGAAGACGACTAAAAACTGAAAGGAAGAACTGCAGAGAGAGTTCCCCGACCTGCCTCACCCAGCCTGCCCTTTCAACAACTAGAGGTGAGTGCTGGCAAGTCCCTGGGTGCACACTGGAGCCAAAAAATGGCCCATTGTCTGGAAGCCCTGAGCCAGCCTGTCCCCTGGTGTCATGCCACACAAGGCCTTGCTCACCTGTCAGCCTTTGCTCTTCCTGGCCCCAGATGTAGGTAGAACAATGGCCTCTGAACACACCCAAGCTCCACGGTGGTAGCCGGTGTCTGATAAGACAAGTAGGGAAATGATCTCTTTCATGTTCCCTTTCTCCTCAGAATCAGAACGCTGCGCCCAGGTTCAACCTGCTGTTTCTTCACCAGGTGACCCTGCATAGGCTTTTGAAACCACCCTGACCCTCATCCGTCTAGCGACAAGATGGGAATCATCAAGACTTCGTTACGTAACTCAAGAAGTCGGTGTGAGAACCTGGGAGATAAGGGTTGTTGAGCTGGGCGCAATGGCTCATGCCTGTAATTCCAGCACTTTAGGAGGCCAAAGCAGGCAGATCACTTGAGGCCAGGAATTCGAGACTAGCCTGGCCATCATGGCAAAACCCCGTCTCTACTCAAAATACAAAAATTAGCCAGGTGTGGTGGTGCACGCCTGTAATCCCGGCTCCTCAGGAGGCTGAGGCTGAGAATCACTTGAACCCGGGAGGCGGAGGTTGCAGTGAGCCAAGATCGCACCACTGCACTCCAGCCTGGGTGACAGAGGGAGACTCTGTCTCAAAAAAAAAAAAAAGGGGGGGGTGGTGGGGCAGCATTTTGAGAACTGAGTCTGAGGAAAAGCCACTGTTACTCTTGTCTGACAATAGTGCCAACTACCTGTGATCCTGAATAAGTCCATTCACCTCACTCGACCTCAAGTTTGAGGGTACAGTGATGACGGCGTTTCTCCAGCTTTCTTTGAGGGATCATGGTGAGGACCCGAGGCAGTCAGCTTTGCAAAGGTGTCTGAGCGGTGCAGGGTGCTCCCCCATTTTAAGGCAGTGCTGTAAATGCTCCCGTAACGGAGGCCAAACATTCTGGTTTTCTATTTTATTTTATTTTCAGACAGGGTCTTGCTCTATCACCCAGGCTGGAGTGCAGTGGCGTGATCACAGCGCACTACAACCTCTGCCTCCCAGGCTCAGTTGATCCTCTCACCACAGCTTCCCGAGTAGCTGGGACTACAGGCACATGCCACCACACCCCACTAATTTTTTGTAGAGACAGGGTCTCACTATGTTGTCCAGGCTGTCTCAAACTCTTGGGCTTAAGTGATCCACCCACCTTGGGCCTGCCAAAGTGCTGGAATTACAGGCATGAGCCACCATGCTCTGCCTAAACATTTTGCTTTGAATGAGCCTAGCAGGTGTACAAGGAACATGATATACCACTAGCTAGTCTGAAGCTTGGGAAAAGAAAGAAAGCAGAAAAAAGATAACAGCAAGAGCTTATTTTGTATATTGAACCCCAAACAAGTGTGTGTCCACCAACCTGCTAGGGCCTGGGGACAGCCCTGATGGAGGTGAGTGGGGACCCCCACTTCTCAGAGGAGAAACTGAGTCTCAGGGAAGTTCAGGGACTTGCCTGGGGTTACTGAGCACACAGAGCAGAGGAGAGATCGCACCTGTCTGCATTCTCCCACCTGCTCCTAATCCCCTCCAGCCAGGCTGGGCTTTTCCTCACAATGAGATGGGGTGTGGAAGACAGAAACCCAGTGAGAGTGGCCTCTGTGGAGAGGCCGCCGTGCAGGGAAGGAGGCAGGGTGGGGCCTGGGGCCAAGCTCCCTGCACAGCCATGACAGCCATGTCCCTGGTCTCGACTCCCCAGGGTCTCCTGCTCCTGGTCACTGCACTGTTGGTGGTTGGCGCTGGGAGAACAGGAGCACTCCCTGGGTAGTCTGACACACAGGATGTGTCTCGCCTCAAAGCAGAAATGAAACCGGCACAGTTCTCCTTGTGAGACACCCCCTCGCCACTTTCGTCTCTCTCCTGCAGGAACCAGGAGAGTGGCTGCCACCACTGGAAGCCAGATTGGAGGACAACAGAGAAACTGGCCAGCTCTGGGGTCTGACCCATGCAGGGAGCTGGGTGTCCACCCCCCACTGCACACATCTTGGGATTGCTTTGTGCATACCCCCTTGGGCTGCAGGTCACAGTGATCACAAGATACTGTTCCTATTAGGTTTGATGATGTAGACTCTAAGGGAGCTGCCCCTTTATACAAGTCCCTGTGTCCCAGTGGAATCGCAGCCAGCCCATCGCCGCGGGAGGGAGATTTGTTTGTGGTTTATTCGCTCATTTGTTGTTTACAGGTTTAGTCACCGTGCTTTCCACACATACGTATTAACAGTCACCCATGTGCCAGGCATCGTGTAGATGCAGGAGGAAGGATATTAAACAAAAAATTACACAAATAACGATTTTTAGGGTTGTGAAGTAATAAGTATAGTTGCGAAAAGTGCCCAAAAGACAAAGGAGAGGCCACTGTGAAAGGTGTAAGGGGAGCCAGGCGCGGCAGCTCACGCCTGTAATCCCAGCACTTTGGGAGGCTGAGGTGGGCGGATCATGAGGTTAGGAGATCAAGACCATCCTGGCCAACATAGTGAAACCCCGTCTCTACTAAAAATAGAAAAATTAGCTAGGCGTGGTGGCATGTGCCTGTAATCCCAGCTACTCAGGAGGCTGAGGCAGGAGAATCACTTGAACTCAGGAGGCAGAGGTTGCAGTGAACCGAGATTGCACCACCGCACTCCAGCCTGGCAAGACAGAGAGCGAGACTGCATCTCAAAAAAATAGAATAAAATAAAAAGCCGGCGTGGTGGCAGGTGCCTATACTATAATCCCAGCTACTGGAGAGGCTGAGGCAGAGAATCACTTGATCCCGGTAGTCGGAGGCTGCAGTGAGCTGAGATCACACCACTGCACTCCAGCCTAGACGACAGAGTGAGACTCTGTCTCAAAAAAAAAAAAAAAAAAAGGTGTGAGGGGGAGCCTGACCTATTCTGGGGCCTAGGGAAGGCTTCTGAATGTTTCCATGGAGACCTGATGGAAGGCCAAGGGAGAGGAAGGGGCAGGTGCAGCAGGAGAAGGAAGCAGAACCAATTGCGCAGGACCGTGTGTGCTGCGGAAGGGTGTCTTGTCTATGTCTTGAAAAGAAGGAACGTCTAGAAGGGTGGGTGACCTTGGGCAAGCCTTCCTCTTCTGTTAGCCTCAGTTTCCTCATCTTTTCAACAGGGACATGTTTGCCCTCCTTGCAAGGTTGTTGAAGAGCTCTTCAGTTAAGCACCTAGCACAGCACCTGCCACCTTGGAGGTGCCCAATAAGTGGAGCCATTGGCCTAATGGTTGTGACAGAGGTGGGGCAGGAATCCAGGCTGCGTGCCCAGCTCGCCTTCCAGCAGCTGCCCCTGCAGTCCCTGTCTTCTTCCAGGGCTGCTTCTAGGAGACACTGAGCCAGGAGCTGTCACTGGGCTGAACACATTGGCCCGAGTTCCAGCTCACTCTCTGCTATAGTGTTCCCCTGCTGTCATATCACTGCCCTTTGCCAGCCAGGTTAACGCAGCCTGGGAAAAGGCTGGGGTGAGTCTACAGCTACGGTCAGCCTTAGAAGCTGTTGTCCCCCCTCCCTCCTCCCACCTTCCACAGTGCCCCAGGCTCCAGCTAGATGACCTAGTCAGTCTTTGCAGATCCCTAATTCCTGTGATTAGCTGGGTAACCACGTACTCTGCAAGTGAGATGCAGGGTGGCACAGAGCTGGCAGCCCCAGGCTTGACCAGCAGTAGGACTACATCATTCTGAGAGTGCAGCCAGGTTGGACTCCCTCTCTCCTGATTCAGGGAAGGAGTCTTCCTAAAGCAGGAAGGAGCTGATCATTGATTGCATGCATGCCTGGAGCCATGCAGGATGCTTTGCTTGCTACTTGGCTTAGTTGTTTTTTGTTTTTTTTTTTTTTTTTTTTGAGACAGAGTCTCACTCTGTCACCCAGGCTGAAGTGCAGTGGTGTGATCTCGGTTCCCTGCAACATCCGCCTCCCGGGTTCAAGTAATCCTCCCGCCTCAGCCTCCCAAGTAGCTGGGACTACAGGCACACGCCACCATGCCCAGCTAATTTTTGTATTTTTAATAGAGATGGGGTTTCACCATGTTGGCCAGGCTAGTCTTGAGCTCCTGACCTCAGGTGATCTGCCTGCCTTGGCCCCCCAAAGTGCTGGGATTACAGGTGTGAGCCACCGTGTCCACCCATACCTGGCTTAGTTCTAACAACAGACCCCTGCTGTGGGTCCTGTTGGCTGCATTTTACAGATAAGTACCTGAGGCTTGAGGGTCACCCATCTGGCAAGTGACAAAAAGGCTGGATTCTATTCCAGGTCACCATGACCTTACCCAGCCCCTAACTCTGAGTGGCCGACCTTTGGGCTATGTTTTGTTGTATTTGGGATTTCATTCAGTTTCATTGTAGGAGTCCTGGAAACGAGATGGGGGAGCCTGAGCTTTGATCTCTTCCTGTGGTAGGTGGCTGCAGAAACTGCTGCCGCTCTTTCTCAGGAGTGTCCCAGGATGATCAAGCTGGAACCACCTCAGTGATGAATATGGCCATCCCCTTGTCCACATAGGGGAAACTGAGGCCCAGAGAAGGGAAGCAACTTGCCTGAGGTTACAAGGTTGGTCAGTGGAGCTGGGGCTCTCCTGGTGCCCTCCTCCATTGGCTTTCTATCTCACCCTCCCTTGCTGGCCTCTGTGCAGTCTCCACACATTGGAAGACCCCAATCTGTGTCTCCTGGACCTCTTTTCTTCATTGCATTCCCCCAGTGACCCAATCCTGAGATCCTAATTACCATCTACATGCCCACAAGTCTCAAGATCTCTAGCCCATCCCACCTCTGAATTCCAACCTATCAGTCCAGTTGCCTTCTTGGCCTCTCATTAGAGATTTAAGAGAACAGTGAACTTGATGTGTCTAAAACACAACTCTTGATTTAGCTCTGCACCCAACCCCCAGCTCTCACCCAAACCTGTTCCACCCACAGTCTTCCCGGATTTAGTAACTGTACCATCATCTACCCAGTTATTCAGGCAGAAAGCCTTGGAATTATCCTATATTTCCCCTTCCCTCATCCCCCACATCTAACCCATTAGCAAAAATATATTGTAATCTGACCCCCCTCCCCATCTCCACTTCCATCTGATGCGACACAACGTTAACTGTCCTCTTGCACCCTCCTTCGCCTTCAGGAATATATTCTCACAGCAACAGCATGCCCTCTTTAAAATACAGAACAGGCCGGGTGTGGTGGCTCACGCCTGTAATCCCAACACTTTGGGAGGCCAAGGCAGGTAGATCACCTGAGGTCAGGAGTTCAAGTCCAGCCTGGCCAACATGGCGAAACCCCATCTCTACCTAAAATACAAAAATTAGCCAGGCATGGTGTCACGTGCCTATAGTCCCAGCTACTCAGGAGGCTGAGGCAAGAGAATCACTGGAACCCGGGAAGTGGAGGTTGCAGTGAGCTGAGATCACATCACTATACTCCAGCCTGGGGGACAGAGTGAGACTGTCTCAAACAAACAAACAAACATAGAACAGGTTGTATCATTCCCCTGCTTGAGGATCCTTCAGCAACTTCCCATCATTTCAGGATGAAACCTCAACTCCTTGCCAGGGCCCATAAGGCCCTGTGAGGCCTGCCTGGGCTTCCAGAAGTTTCCATTCTCCAGTCTCATCTCCTCCTACTCAGAATGATGCAGCTTTTCCTGTTTTTTGTTCCGTGAACACCCCAAGGTTGCCCTTGCTTCAGGGCCTTTGCATGTCTCCCCTCTTCTTGGAACCCTCTTCCCAAGATTGTGGCTTGGTTGGTTCCTTATTGTGGGTGTCACTCGTTGCCTTCTCAGGCCTTCCCTGACCATCCTGTCTAGAAAGCAGCACCTCTGTGTCCTCTCGTCTCTTCCCCATAGCCCTTAACATCATCTAAAATTTTCTGCATTATCTGCCTGCTTCTGCATTGTCTTTTCTGCTCAGTGGAATGTAAGCACTGGGACTGTTTTTGGTCCCTGCTGTAGCCTCAGTGTGCCTAGCACGTAGCAGGCACTCCATGCATGCATGCTTATTGACAGAACAAACCACATGGATTAAGGGCCTAAGTTACAAACCAAGTGTCTTCGAAGTTGTTGTCCCTCAAACTCTTTTTTTTTTTTTTTTTTTTTTTGAGACGGAGTCTTGCTCTGTTGCCCAGGCTGGAGTGCAGTGGCACGATCTCAGCTCACTGCAACATCCACCTCCAAGGTTCAAGCATTTCTTCTGCCTCAGCCTCCCAAGTAGCTGGGACCACAGGCGCCCGCCACCACGCCTGGCTAATTTGTGTATTTTTTGTAGAGACTGGGTTTCACTGTGTTAGCCAAGATGGTCTGGATCTCCTGACCTTGTGATCCACCCGCCTCAACCTCCCAAAGTGCTGGGATTACAGGTGCCCGGCCTAGTAACATGAGCTCTCTTATTATTATTATTATTACTACTATTATTACTATTATTCATTTTAGAGAGAAGGTCTCTCTCTGTCACCCAGGCTGGAGCACAGTGGCATGATCGTAGCTCACTGCAGCCTGAAACTCCTGGGCTCGAGCAATGCTCCTGCCTCAGCCTCCCAAAGTGTAGTGATTATAGGTGTGAGCCACCTGTGCCCAGCCACTTATTATTTTTTAATCATTATTGTTTTGTTTTGTTTTGTTTTTGAGACAGAGTCTCGCTCTGTCGCCCAGGCTGGAGTGCAGTGGTACGATCTCGGCTCACTGCTAGCTCTGCCTCCCGGGCTCAAGCAATTCTCCTGCCTCAGCCTTGTGAGTAGCTGGGATTACAGGCATGCACCACCATGCCTGGATAATTTTTGTATTTTAGTAGAGACGGGGTTTTGCCATATTGCCCAGGCTGGTCTCAAATTCCTGACCTTAGGTGATCTGCCTACCTCACCCTCCCAAAGTGCTGGGATCACAGGCAGGAGCCACCACGCCCAGCCAATCATTATTTTTATTACCACCACTATCATCATCAGTTTGACTCCTGGAAGAGGCAGCTGTTGATTCCTCTCTGCCTTCAAGTAATAATACTTACGCCACTTTTCACATTCAGTGCCCTTCAGTGGCTTCCTGTTTCACTCAAGAAAAGGAGAAAACCCCACCTACCTATCCAGCAACATGTGAGCCTCCACCTACCTCTCCAGCCTCATCTTGCATGCTCTTTCCTGTTGGTCACCGCCCTGCAGTCGTACCAGCCTCACTGCAGTTCTTCATGTGATTTATGTTCATCCCACACCAAGCACTCTCCCTGGAATATGCTTTCCCTCCATCTTCACCTGGTGAATGCCTACTCTTCCTTCTTTCGATCTCAGCTCGGCCATTACTATCTCAGCCTTCCATGACCTCCGACTAGGGGAACCCTCCTTATATCACACTCTCAGAGTAACATGTGCCTCTGCTGTAGCCTTCATCACAGCCGTCAGTTTACACTTATTCCTTCAACTTGAATTAATGTCAGCCTTTTCTAATCAACACTAAGCTCCACAGGAACAGAGACCATATCATTCTTTGCTCACCTTGGTACTCCTAACGTTAGAACAGTGCCTTGCACATAGAAGATATCTCGTAAATAATAAATGAATGAATGAGTAATGAGAAAGCCTTTGGGTTAGACGGTCATCCTTCAGACCAAGCCCAAAACTTCCCCAAGAGAAAATCTGCTGCCTTTGAATAAAACCAGCCTTTCTCACTGGCCTCCTGCCATGGGACAGAAACAGCCTTCTTGACTTCCAGTGAGTTCTGCCGGCTAGAGACGTGACCTTGGGTGGTCACAGGGTACCCGTGGAGTAGGAAAAGCCTTTGTCCCTCTAAGCTGAGATAGAAACTGGATATGAAACCACAATGCAATGGAGAAGTCTGTCTCATTTCCTGAGCTCAGCCATTTCTCAGTGCCAGGCACTTTCAGCTCTTCCTTCCCTCTTCAAACAGGGTCACTTACCGTGTCCTGATGGTGGAATCCTCTACTTTGGTTTTTCTGGCCAGCAGTGTTTTCTTTAATGGGTTGGAGCAAAGGTTCTCAAAGGCCTACAGACCTGGGCCAGTCCCCCACAGAGTCAGCACCAGGACATGGTGAAATCAGAGAAACAGGGACAAAGTCGGGAGTTTTTATGAAGATAAATTAATTCTGAAATTGTCTGCCCTACTTTTTTCTGTGTCAGGATGCCCTTTCTTTTATGAAACAAGGGTGCTAGGAGTTGGCCATTTTTTTCAGTGTCCTTGTTTGTCAAAATCACCTATTTAATTTTCTTTTGAAATTTACTGGTCTGTGGACAGTGGCTGAGCCAGGATGAGAACTTGGATTTTGTAGTTCCAGGTTTGCAGTCTCTCCCCTCTGCCACCCCTCCCTGGAGAGGATCAGATGCAGGGGAGACAGGACGGCTGGCTGTAAATTATTGACGGGCTGCCATGTGGAAGAGGGGAAGCACTGGTTCTGTAACCAGGGAGCAGAGTCAGGGTCACTGGGTAGCAGTTTCAGAGGGGCATATTTCAAGTGGGTTAGAATAAACTCTTTGACAGGCAGGAATTCAACAATAGAATGGGCTACCCCACCCATGGTGGCCAGGCACAGGTGTGGCAGCCATATTTGGGCTGTTGGAGGGACTATCCCCGCCTGCGGGTACTGGTTAAGGATTTTGGCCTTGGATTCAAATCGACCTGGGTTTCAGCACTAGTTTTACCACTTTTTATCTGTGTGACCCGGGGCAAATCAGTTTCCTGCTGTTTAAAATGGGGGTAAATCACGCCTCCCTCAGAGTCCTGTGAGGATTGAAAGAAGGGGTGCCAGCCGGGCACAGTGGCTCACGCCTGTAATCCCAGTGCTTTGGGAGGCCAAGATGGGAGGATTGCTTGAGCTCAGGAGTTTGAGACCAGCCTTGGCAACATAGTGAGGCCTCGTCTCTACCGCTACTATTAATAATAAACTAGCTGGGCATAGTGGCATGTGCCTGAAATCTCAGCTACTCGGAAGGCTGAGGTGGGAGAATTGCTTGAGTCCAGGAAGTCAGCTGCAGTGAGCCAAGATCGTGCCACTGCACCCCAGCCTGGGTGACAGAGTGAGACCCTGTTTCAAAAATAAAAGAAAGAAGGGGTGCCCAGGCCACAAAAGGGCATTTTGTGAGATGTGGGCACATTCCTGGCACATCTGTCTCCAGGGAGTTTACTAATTCCTGGGGAATAAGGAATGCCACTCTCTGGTGGAGAGGAAGAGACTCACAGAGAAAAACAGTTTATGAGGCCGTGTGCGGTGGCTCACGCCTGTAATCCCAGCACTTTGGGAGGCCGAGGCGGGAGGATCACCTGAGGTCAGGAGTTTGAGACCAGCCTGGCCAACATGGGGAAACCCCATCTCTACTAAGAATACAAAAATTAGCCAGGTGTGGTGGCTCATGCCTGTAATCCCAGCTACTCGAGAGGCTGAGGCACGAGAATCGCTTGATTCCAAACATTCATTCATCCATATACCCATCCATCCATACACCTACTCATCCAACTCGTGTTCATCCAAACATCCATCCATCCATCCATCCATCCATCCATCCATCCATCCATCCATATATACATCCATCTATCCATTCATGCATCTATACATATACCTATTGATCAAATTCTTGTCCATCCATCCATCCACCTATTTATCCAACTTCTGTTCATCCAAACATCCACCTATCCATCTATCTACCCATCCATCCATTCATGCATGCATGCATCCATCCATACATACATACATACACTCACTCATCCGTCTATATACCCATCCATCCATGTATCTATTTATCTAATTCCTGTACATCCAAACATTCATTCATCCATATACCCATCCATCCATACACCTACTCATCCAACTCATGTTCATCCAAACATCCATCCATCCACCCATCCATCCATCCATCCATCCATCCATCCATCCATGTTTCAAGCAGAGAACAAGACAAAATCACTGCATTCATGAAGCTTAAATTGAGTGAGGCAGGGCTTGCAGATATAAATCAAATAATAGTAAATAAGGGTAAAATTGTGACAATGATAAGTGCTACAGACATAAAGGGCACATGGTGCTAGGAGAGTCCATCACAGGGCAATCTGACCTAGTCATGAAGGTCAGCAAAGGCTCTCCAAGTGACCATAGAACTGAGAACTACAGGGTAAGCAGGATTAAGTAGAAGAATTGGGGAGGAAAAAATGTTCAGGAAGAGAGGGAAGGGCACGCACAGGGCAAGATAAAGTTGGGAAGTAGGCCTGACCATGCAGTGCTCTTGGGCATGCTGAAGATTTTGATTTTGATTCTTAGAGGTTCTAAGCAAGGAGCAGGTGACAGGATCAGATTTGTATTTTTAAGAGATTATTTTGGCTGTGGTTACAGAAGATGGAAGCGGGGGATGGGATGAGCAAGTGTGAAAGCCGGAGGCCTGTGGGAAGCCAATGTAGATGTCCAGGAAATTCATGATGGAACCTTGGACTGGGGAGGTGATGGGGGGAGGGGAGGAGTGGATGGACTTGAGGGCCATTTAGGAGATAAAATGGACATGATTGGGCCATGGGTTTTGTGGGAAGGATAAGGGTGAGGGAGTTATCTAGGATGACACCCAGGTTTCTGGATAAAACTGTTGCCAGGCAACAGAGAGAAAGCCAGAAGGGAGTGGGGAAGGGGTGGGACACATTTTCCCTTGCAGTTGTTTTTATGCCCATGTTTGCAAAATAAAGGGTGTTGGAGGTGTGGGCGTGCACAGCTCCCTGACTGCCCACCCAAGGATAAGAAGACTGGTTTAAGAAGATTGCATGTTGCAGGGTAAAGGGAGCTAGGTCTTCTACTCTGGGCTCTGCATGCAGGTAACTGTGTGATTTCACTCCCCTGGCCCAGGACTCTGAAACAGACATCCCTCCTTGTCTGGCAATTTCATGGCAAAAAGCAGCCTGAGTCGTATTTGTCCACTCATGCTATTTACAGGACTCCTCCTTGGGAAGTTATTTCTTGTAGATCCACTTTATCCAGAGCCTGAAGGTGAAAAATCATCAAGTCTAGAATGTGAGATCTGAAAGGAATCACAGAGCCCATTTTCCCAATCTTCTAATTTTACACTGGGGCAGCCCCCGTGTCTGACCCATGTCTCTATGCTACTCTACTACCTTGCCTACAGGAAGAGAGGTTAAGGAGTTTGTCCAAAGCCACAAAGCTATTGGGCATAAGGAGGTGACCCCACATTCCTTTTCTTACTTTGGGGGTGGGGATTCTTCTGCAGCCTGCAGTTATTTCCTAGGACAGTGGGGCTAGGTAGAGCTGTGGCGATGAGCTAAGATCATAGACACAGGTGATGCTGAGCATCTGGGGGAATAATTCATCTGAAGCTGTGCCCTGCTGAGTTGGAGTCCTTTCTGACTCTTTAAAGATGCCTCTTGTCATGCACCCAGTCGTGACTCCTGAATATCCTCCTGGGGTTGCAAGATGCTCTTTGCAAAAAAAAAAAAAAAAAAAGGAATGCAGAAAACCCAGCCCACCCCCTGAAAATGAGACATAGAGACAAAAAACATGGTTTGAACCTCACTGCTTAGGTTTCCATGGTGGCTCCACTCTGCTGCCCTTCCCATTGGCTAGGTGTCCTGCTCCAGCTTTAGCAACAGAGACTCAGATACTCATCTCCTTCCTGATTGGCCAGGCTGTGCTGCAGTGCCATGGCAACAGAGGCAGGGGGACCAGTCTCTGCAGAACAACTTGAGTCACCATCTACCTGGGGTGGGCTGAGATCCAGAGAACTGCCTGTGGGGGATGGAAAGGGGAACAGGTAGCCCCCACCTAAGCTCACAGTCAGGTGGGAACCTCCCCGCCACCAGTTGCCCAGGGGTTTTGGAGGCTGGCGGGCTTCTCCTCCTCATCTTGTCTACCCTGTATCTTGCAGCTTCTTCCAGCCTTTTCTTGCTCCATGGGTCCTGTCTCCCTCAGAAGAAAAATCACACCACTAGCAGTGCCAGAGTTTAACTCATTCGCCCAAAGTCGTGCAAGTTACTAATAAAGGCCAGGGTTTGAACTCGTATTTATATTGCCTGGTTTAAAGGCTTTAGAGGGGCTTTGCTAGAGAATCCAGGGGTCCTCTCAGTTTTAATATCTATCCCCTTTTTATTCACCAAACAGCAAATGCATTTCAAAGCAGTCTTTCATCTAAATTATCTCATCATCTCAACAACCCTATGAGTTCGGTAAGTCAGAGATTAATGACCCATTTTATAGATGAGGACACTAGAGCCCAGAGAAGGCAAATTATTTGTTCCATGACACACAGCACATTAGTGCCAGAGCCGGGCCTTTAACCCAGGCCTTCTGAATCCTTGTCAGAGGTCTACCTTCCAAACCACTGACCTATCTATACCAGGGGGGTTCCAGGAGGGTTGGAGGCCCTCTGAGGGCTTCTCTGAGTGGTCTCCTCTGTTACAGAAGCCAGTTAGAATCAGGCAGTCCGTTGTGGACCAAGGGTTCATACCATAGCCCTAGTCTCAGCCAGGCAACCCCTCAATGTGACCCTGGTCTCCAGGAAGGGTCTGTTTTTAACTGCAAACCTTGCTCTTCCCCTCAACCCCCATTTGCCAACAGGTGAAGAAGTACTCACAAGCTTACCTGCAATCGGTTTTACTGTTTCTGTGTGCTTGAAGCTGTGCTGGGCATGCATGTTCTCATTGAATTCTCATCACAACCTTAGGAGTTCGGTCTTCACTGTCCACTCCTAATAGATGCAGAAACTGGTGCTCAGGAAGGTCAAGCCGCATCCCCAAGGTCACACAGTCATGGAGACATAATACCAACACAAGTCCACCTAACCTAAAGGAGCCTGGCTTGAACTACGGTGATGCTCTCTCTGTTCCCACAGAATGCAGAATGATAGCTAAAAGAGGCACCTGGAATCACTCCTGTAATCCCAGCAGTTTGGTAGGCTGAGATGGGTGGATCACAAGGTCAGGAGTTCGAGACCAGCCTGACCAACATGGTGAAATCCTGTCTCTACTAAAAATACAAAAATTAGCCAGGAGTGGTGGTGCATGCCTGTAATCCCAGTTACTCAGGAGGCTGAGGCAGGAGAATCCCTTGAACCCGGGAGGCGGAGGTTGCAGTAAGCTGAGATCACGCCACTGCACTCAAGCTTGGGTGACAGAATGAGACTCCGTCTCAAAAAAAAAAAAAAAAAGAAAAGAAAAGAAAAAGGCACCCTGGAGCTGATTCTTTTTCTCTTGGGTATGCATTTTTTCCTCAACTGAAGCTGTGGCTACTGGACCAATTCCTTGGCACTGGAAAAAGCAGACTCTGAGGACTCTGAGGGACTTGGAAATAGTTGGCCCCTGGGAAGTGACTCAGTGTCCCCAACACTCTCTCCCATTGCCCAGTTTCTCAGCTTGGTGATCTTACAGAAGGGCGTGGCTGGGCTGCTGGTAATTTGCAGCTGACCTGGTGGAGAGAAGCCCCAGTAACTTCCTTGGCCTGAATCTAAGCCCCTGCTGAAAATGAACATTTTGGCAGTTTCCTTTTCTTCCTACTCAACTTGGGCTCCCTGAAGCTCTTGCCCCTGAAACACAGCCCAGACACCTGGCCTGCCCTCCTGCCCTCCCAAGGGCACCGGTTTTGGAAGACACAACCAGGCAGGAGTTCCCACCTGCCACGCTGCTCCCCCAAGCACCACAGCAGCAAGGGGCAGGCACACAATCTCTCCATCAACAATTACACAGCTTCTCTGTGCCAGACACCACACACACAGGCTCAAGGGAGATGGTAGGGAACAAACCATTCTGGCCCCTGCCCTCATGGAAACTGCAGCCTCGTGGCGGAAATGCACTGCAGGTCCATAAGTGAATACATCATGGTTTCAGACAGTGATAAATGCCTTGGACAGGATGAAACAGGATAACGGCATAAACAGCAATTGGTGGGGGTTTGAGGGGGGAGGGAAGGGACTGAAGGGGAAGGGAGCAGGCACCTGAATGAGGAGGAGGCAGTTGTCTTGGTTATCTATAGCCACCTAACAAACCCCCAAACCTAGTGGCTTACAACAACCATTTGTTATTTTTTATGAGTCTGGCTGGCCTGAGTGGTTCCTCTGCCCGTTTCTCCTGGTCACACATGCAGCTGCATTCAGCTGGAGTCACAGCTGAGCTGGAAGGTCCAAGAAGGCCTCTCACACACATCTGGTGGTTGGTGCTGGCTGTTGGCTGGGGTGTCTCAGATCCCTATCACGTGGCCTCCCATCCTCCCGCTGGTAGACCAGCTGCCTTATGTGGTGGTCTAGGAGCAGCATTCCAAGAGGGGGAAGGCACAAGCTTGCAAGATCTCTTGCGGCCTAAGCTCCTGAACTCATAAAGGGTCACTTCTGCCACATTCTGTTGTCAGAGCAAGTCACAAGCCCAGCCCAGATCCAAAGGGCAAGGAAAGGGATGCCACTTCTTGATGTGAGGGGAGCAGCAAAGTATTTGTGGCCTTATTTATGAGACATGATCAGCCGGGCGTGGAGGCTCACACCTGTAATCCCAGAACTTTGGGAGGCCAGGGTGGGCAGATCATTTGAGGCCAGGAGTTCAAGACCAGCCTGGCCAACATGGTGAAACTCCATCTTTGTATTTTATAAATTTATAAATGTATACATATTATATTTTATATAAAAAGAGACATGATCCATATTGCAGAGAGTAACAAAAATGATTTCGAGGTGTACCAAAGTTGTGATTAGTATGAAATCTTTTTTTTTTAATTTTTTGAGACAGGGTCTCACTCCATTGCCCACGCTGGAGTACACTGGCACGATCATAGCTCACTGCATCCTCAAGCTCCCAGGCTCAAACAATCCTCCTGCCTTGGCCTCCTGAGTAGGCATGCACCACAACACCAGCAAGACGCTATCTTGCCCTGTTGCCCAGGCAGGACTATAGCAACACAATCATAGTTCACTGCATCCTCAAACTCCTCATCTCAAGCGATCCTCCCACCTGAGCCTCCTGAGTAGCTGGGACTACAGGAGTGTGCCACCCTGCCTGGCTATTTTTTTCTTATTTTTTGTAGCAATGGGGGTCTCACTATGATGCCCAGACTGGTCTTGAACTTATGCCTGGGGCTGTCTTCCTGCCTTGGCCTCCCAAAGTGCTGGGATTACAGGTGTCAGCCACCATGCCTGGCCTATGTGGCCATCTTTAATCTGCGACATCATCCATGTCGAGATCTCTGGGAAGAGTGTTCCGGGCAGAGGAAAAGCACCTGCAAAGACCCTGGGTTAGGATGGCATCCAGAGACCTGAGCCTTGAACAATGGTGTGATGGTTGATACTGAGTGTCAACTTGATTGGACTGAAGAATACAAAGTATTGATCCTGGGTGTGTCTGTGAGAGTGTTGCTAAAGGATATTAACATTTGACTCAGTGGGCTGGGAAAGGCAGACCCACCTTTAACCTGGGTGGGCACCATCTAATCAGCTGCCAGTGCTGCTAGAATGTAAACAGGCAGAAAAAATGTAAAAGAGAGACTGGTCTAGCCTCCCAGCCTACATCTTTCTCATGTGCTGGATGCTTCCTGCCCTCGAACATCGGACTCCAAGTTCCTCAGTTTTGAAACTGGGACTGGCTCTTCTTGCTCCTCAGCCTGCAGACGGCCTATTGTGGGACCTTGTGATCGTGTGAGTTAATATGTAATAAACTCCCCTTTATATATATATATACACACATATATATACATACACCCATATATATACATATATATACACATATACACATATATATATATATGCCATTAATTATGTCCCTCTAGAGAACCCTGGCTAATACAAATGGGTTCCTCTACTCCCTTAGTTTCCTGTCCTGTAAAGTGGGAACTAAGGATGTCTCCCTGGCTCCTTATAGGAATACAGGATGTAAGATGCTTTGCTTCAAGGCTGGGTTAGGATTTTGGTTATTGGCCAGTGGCAGGGAGGAGAGGCCAACACAGGAGCTCAGCTTGGCTTCCCCCAAGCTCACCAGCGTTTGTTGAGCACTGTCTGGCAGGAAGGCACAGTGCTCAGCACCACAGGTCATAGCTGGGGAGTCTGAGGGTTGCTGATCTTGCCAAGCTTATGGGATAAAAAGATTGCTTGCTGCCCCGGATGTGACTGAGACATACCAGATGCATCTCAGAAGAAAAGAGCTGGGAGGACTGTGGGGCTCAGGGAAGGCCTGGAGGAGATGGGGTTCCAACAGGGCTTTGAGGGGCACATAGGATTTGGCTGAAGGAGGGGAAACTGTTGATAGGAAAAGTATAAGCGGCTGTGGAATTTAGTAATTCAGTGCAACAAATGTTTGCTGAACCCCTACATACGCCACGTGAACGGGACAGACAGAGGCACTGTGAGGATCCAGAGGAGACACAACACAGGTCTTGAAGTGATGATGCTTCAGAGGCCTGAGGATGAGTCAGGTCAAGCACAGTGGGGCACTGGGAGGAGGAGATGATACCAAGAGGGTTCCAATGAAAGGACATCTGCAAAGGACAGAGGGGAGGGAGGGCTTGAGTTTCTCAAGTAAAGGCAATGAGCTGTGTCTAAAGCAGAGGGTCCATGTGGAAGAGAGTGGAGGGATGAGCTCAGGGCCAAACTGGTCTCATGGGCTAACTAAAGACTTCGTCCTTTTTCCTGGCCAGGCGCGGTGGCTCACACCTGTAATCCCAGCACTTTGGGAGGCCAAGGCAAGCAGATCACTTGAGGCCAGGAGTTCGAGACCAGCCTGGCTAACATGGTGAAATTCTGTCTCCACTATAAATACAAACATTAGTTGGGCATGGTGGTGCATGCCTGTAGTCTCAGCTACTCAAGAGGCTGAGGCAGGAGAAACGCTTAAACCTGGGAGGCAGAGCTTGCAGTGAGCTGAGATGGTGTCACTGCACTCCAGCCTGGGCGACAGGCTTTTGAGACTCCGTCTCAAAGAGAAAGGAAGAAAAAAAAGGCTTTGTCCTTTTTCCTGAGGGCAATGTATGTAGGAACACCAGATTTAGCAAATTAAAATACAGGTTGTCCTGTTAAATTTGGATTTCATATGAACAACAAATAATTTCTGTAGTATGTGTATGCAATTTCTGGGACATTCCTATACTAAAATATTATTCATTGTTTGTCTGAAATTCAGGGGTTTTTTTGTTTTTCTTTTTGTTTTGTTTTGTTTTTAAGACAGGGTCACATTATGTTGCCCAGGCTGGCCTCAAACTCCTGGCCTCAAGCAATCTTCCTGCCTCAGCCTGTTGAGTAGCACTACGGGTGTGTGCCACCATACCCAGCTTGAAATTCAGTTTTAACTGAGCCTCCTGTATTTTCTCTGGAGACCTTAAGTGTGGGATCATGGAAAGGTTTTAAGCAGGGCGAGGACAAGGTCAGATTTACGTTTTGGGAAGCTCCCAGGATTCGTGGGAAAATAGACTGGAGGGAGACCAGGAAGGGGCGGGGGATGAGGTTCCTCCTATTGTCCTGGCCAAAGAAGTGGAGGTCACCACCAGGAATGGGGCCATTGCATCATGTCTTCCAACACATCTGCCTCCCGGACTAGGCATGTGGCCTTGGATAAACCCTAGCTGATGAAGCCCCAGAGGGCTGCAGGCCAGTCAGACCCCAGCTGTGCCATGTGAGCCCCTGGCATGGTTTACTCCCTCCCAGATGCTCATCTGCCAAACAAAGGGGTCAGATGATCAGAGAGATTGTCCATGAGGGCCCTTCTGCTTCTGCCATCCTGGGGCCCTCCACCCATCCTCTCTCTGATACCTCTCCTGGCGTGGGCCCACCAGGGTGAAAAGTCCAAACCTGAGATGCTTGGCTCCCAGGTCATCCTTCCTGTGCCTCCTTGCTCCTTCTTCCCTCCCACCATCACTCTGCCCAGTGAATGCCTGAAGGGACCCCGTGTCTCCTCTCTCCAACCTCAGGTCCCAGGCCTGGTTTTGGAGAAGGGTCTCAGCCTGTGTTGACAGCCTGCGATGGGTGAAGCTAGGTCTTCGGCATCACTCGTTTCATTGAATCTTCACAGCAGTGCTACAAGGAAAGCATCATTCCCATTTCACAGATAAGGGGGACTGAGGCTCAGCAGTGCACTTGCTGACCCAGTCACACAGCTGTGCAGGGGGCAAACCTGGAGTGGAGTCCAGGTTGGGCTGGCACCAGTGCTCTGCTCTCCCGCTGTCTCAATGGAATGTACCCAGGAGCCCCTAATCCCCCATTGATTTAGTGTTCGGGCTTGGTCAGCAGTCTTCTTGTCCCACTGCAGGCATGTGCAGCCCCGGCTCTTTCTGAGTTAAGCCAGGGACTGAAATGGGTCGGCAGAATGCTCATCTGTTGGGCGCTTTATGGTTTATAAAGCCCTTTCCCTTCTGTGCCCTCCTCACAACCCCATGGAGACTCTGCACGGCCCCTCCAGCTCTTAGAGGCTGCATTTTGCGCAGTGAAGGCCACATTAAATATTAACAGGGCAGCTCCTGGCCCCGCTGTGACGTCAATTACGGGGCCGCTTGGTGAGGGCTGCGGATGCCTTTCCAAGGTGAAGCGGTGACCGGAATTCAGCTGGCTTGAATGGTGTCCCAGGAGGCTGGCTGTCAGGACTCGGAGAAGATGTTGCTAATGTAAGGTGTGGCAGGAATCCAAAAGCTTTCCTCTGATCTTCCTGGCTCCCTCAGGGCCTGGTGGCATCCTGAGGCTAGCGAGATGCATTCAGTCATTTGGCAGATATTTATTGAGCACCTGCTATATGCCAAGCACAGTGCGAGGCTCTGCGGAGACGGCTGTGAATGTGATGAGGTCTTTGCATAGTGGTGCTCCCTGTGTGATTGAAGAAAGGGAGAAATCCAGCTCTGTGGGCTAGGGCAGGTGCCCACTCCAGCGTGAGGCCAAGGGATCCTTCCAAAAGAAGTCAGGTTGATACTGAAACCTGAAGAAGAAGCCCAAGTTAGGTAGGGAAAGAGGAGGGGTGAGAGAATAGACATAGAGAATACCTTTCGAGGTCGGATCCTGGTTCTACCTGTTCGTAGACATTTATCTACAAATTAGGTTCCCACCACGCAGGGCTGTTGTGAGGACTAAATGAAGCCATTGCTAGTGACAGCACAGGCTGGATGCATAGTGAGGTGCCCAGTGGGAGCTCATGGGTAGCTGCTGTGAAAATAGCTCTGGGCCACACATGGTGGCTCACACCTGTAATCCCAGCACTTTGGGAGGCTGAGGCGAGAGGATCACTTGCATCTAGGAGTTCAATACCAGCCAAGGCAACATACTGAGACCCTGTCTCTACAAAAAATAGAAAATTAGCCAGGCGTAGTGGTGCACACCTGTAGTCAGTCCCAACTACTTGGGAGGCTGAAGTGGGAGGATCACTTGAGTCCAGGAGGTCAAGGCTGCAGTGAGCCAGGATTGCACCACTGCACTCAGCCTGGGTGACCCAGGAAGACCTTGTCTAAAAAAAAAAAAAAAAAAAAAGGAAGGAAAGGAAAGAAAAGAAAGGGAAGTAAGGATGGAAGGAAGGAAAGAAAAAGAAAGAGAGAGAGAGAGAGAAAGGAAAAGAAAAGAAATAGTCTGTGTCTTACATGATTCCTTTGCACTGCCAGGAATTCTTGCTCCCATTTTGTAAGCAGAGAATATACTGAGGCTCAGAGAGGTCAGAGAGGTGACCCGACATGGCCAGGGTTATACTGTGGATTAGACCCCAGGTTGGACATGTGACCCTAGGCTCTGACTTGGGCTTTTTGCCATACTCCATCCACAGGCAACCCAAGCAATTATTTCAGCTCAGTGAGATACGGAATCCCACCAGTGATTCCCAGTATGAGTTCCTTGGCTGCATGTTCAAGGGTAGTCTCAGCCTTCTTTGTGATAAGGCCACAGCTGTCTGATGATTAGCCCAGGGTTGGGCTTTGGGAGGCCTGGGCATAGGCTTGATTTCGCTAACCTGCTGTGTGACCATGGGTGAATTACTTTCCCTCTCTGAGCCTCAGTTCCCACAGGGCCAGCGAATGACCAGCTGTTATTGTCTGGGTCTCTGATCCTCCCAGTAGTGCTGTGGCAAAGGAACTACTTTGAATTTCATATTAAAAATGAAGAACCCGGACAGGCGCGATGGCTCACGCCTGTAATCCCAGCACTTTGGGAGGCTGAGGCAGGTGGATCACTTGAGGTCAGGAGTTCAAGACCAGCCTAGCCAACATGGTGAGACCACGTCCATACAAAAAACACAAAAATTAGCCAGGCATGGTGGTACGTGCCTGTAATCCCAGCTACTCAGGAGGCTGGGGCAAGAGAATTGCTTGAATCTGGGAGGCGGAGTTTGCAGTGAGCTGAAATCACGCCACTGTACTCCAGCCTGGGCAACATGCGAGACACTGTCTCAAAAAAAAAAAAAAAAAAAGATAAGGAACCAGCGGTCTGAGACCGACAAAGTGGCATGCACAAGGCTACACAATTAGCAAGTGGGGCCCAGGATTTGGGAACAACCCGTTGCTGGCAGAGCTTCCCATCAGTCCACCATGCTGTGCTGCCTCTTGGAGTAAGAAAGCCAAACTGAATTGTCTCCAAGATCTTTATTATGGGTCTGTGATTCTGTGAGTTCCCTGCTGCCCCAGGCCTTCAGGGCTCAATGACTTCATGGGGAAGCCATTTCAGGTTGTGCTGGTCCTCCAACTGTCCCCATTTCAAGTAGGTAACATCCCCGTAGGCAGCACTCCCTCCCTCCCTCAGACACAACCTCATTCCTCCTGAATGAAGAGGTCTAGTGAGGACAGGGACATGCCCTTTTTATTCTCCCCCCACTGCACCGCCCACTCACCCTGACATGCCCATTTTATGGAAAAGAAAACTGAAACTCAGGTCCAACAACTTGCCCAGGTTTCCCCAGTTACTATGGAAGAGCTAGGATTTGAGGCTGGGTCTGGTAACTCCAGATCTTGTACTCTAAGTAACTGCAAGCTGGCCAGATTCAGCAGGACAGCCCTCCTCCTCCTCTGAGCTCCCTCCCGGCTTCTGCAATCCTGCCTGCCTTCCCCCTTGCTCCCTCCCTCTTCTTGCCTTTCACTCAGCTGTCACTTAATGTTAGCTGTCAGCTGATTTCAGGTGTTCCCCTTCCTGGGGTGGAAGGGGAGAGGACCAAAGATCTTGGCCATTCACAAAGGGGGCTCTGGTGATGGGAGTTTTGTAATACGCAGAAGGTGTAACCAAATTCAATTCAGCATTCATGGAGCAGCGCCTGGATCCAGGACACTCAGCCAGGCATCCCAGGGACTCAGATGGTGAATGAAACACAGGCCCCATTCTCCAGTGCTTACAGTCTATTACAAAGGAAATGGCTGCTTCCTAAGGAAGTGGGAAGCAGAAGGTATAAGTAACAAAGAGTGTGAACCTTATAGTCAGAAAGACCTGGGTTCAAATCCTAATTCTTCATCTAATAGCAGCATGACTTTGGGTAAGAGGATGCCTTCCTGAGCTTTAATTTTTCCATCTGTTTAATGGGTGTAAGAAGAATAGCTCCCATATTAAATGAGATCTTATACTGCATTAAATGACATAACAAAGTGCTTGATGCCCAGTAGCAAGCCACAGACATTCCTACCAATGTCACTCTAGGCAGACAGTGGATACCAGAGTCACAGTGGGAGTAGGTGGAAGGCGAGAGTACTTCTTGTTGGAGAAACTGGGAAGGCTCTTTAGGGGAGGTAAGATTTCGGCTGGGTATTAAAGGAATGTAAGAAGAAGAGAATGGGGTGGAGGGATGGGAAAGGACATTCTGGAAACTCATGGGCAGAATCTGGGAACCTGGTGGGCCTAATGTGTCCAGGGAGTGGGTGATGACCTTGAGAAGATGGGCCACGGGCAGGTTATGAAGGGCCAGGTAGAGGAAGTTATATCTTTAACGAGGGAATGGATCCTACCCACGACCCCAGGGGCAGCTCAGTGCTGTCTCTGCAGAAGCCAGCCAGCCTCCTACAGGAGTTGGCCTTCTCATGTGGCTGTGGTCCTCTCAGATCCCTTTATCTCCTGAGTCAGGGCCAGCCTGCCACCATTATCTACAAGAAGACAGAAGGCTATAACAATCTGCTTGCCTCCTACTAACATACTGGGGAGGAAAAGATGTTTTTTAGCATAGTTGCCTGGCAGAGAACCATGGTGAAAATTCAGTGACCCTCTCCCTTGCTTCTCAGGGTACAGTTTCAGCAGCAGCTGATGACAGTTATGCTCATAGCTCAACAGCTACAAGAATGTTCTCAGACTCTCTGAAGGTCAGGGGCAGTGGTGGGAAGAATGGTGAAGATGGAGCAGAGCCCCTGCTCTCTGTGCTGTGGCTGGGCAAGACACTTAACCTCCCTGGGACTCAGTTTCCTCATCTGTAAAATCAAAACAATAATACTGACCTTGCCTTAACCAAGAGACAGCGTAGTAGCAAACTGCTGGCCCACAGCCTGCTATGAAGTAGGAGTTCATTACCTTCTTCGCTCCAGGTCTTGACATGGTCCAAAGACTTGTCTTTTGATGCAGCCCTGTTGTATCCTCTTGAGTTGTCATGACATTGTCTGCTGGTCTTCCAGTGGCAAAATATCCTAGACTTTCAGAGCTGAAAAAAAAAGGTACTTTGCCATTCATCATTGCAGCCTCCCATTTCACAGATAAGAAATCCAAGGCTCGGGGTGAAGGAACAGCCTTCTCCAGCTTTCCCGGACCATGCACGACAGCCCCTCCCAACCCAGCCCACCCAGTGGGAACCATGCAAAAGCTTGAGGCAGTTTTTCAGATGGTTCAAGCCAAAACGTCTAGAAAATTCTTGCTAAGAAACACAAACTCCCAGACCATCTGCAGAACTGAAACAAAAGCCTTTTTCGCCCTCATTTTAACTGCAACTCAATAGGTGTCGGCTTTGAGCTCTCCCCCAGAGCTGAGCTCCTCTGAACAAGCTGGAGGGGGGCGGGTGCTGGGACTGGGGCTCTGAGCTCCACCAGCTCATAGAACCAGCTCACAGATTGCAGCTAACAGGACATTTTTGCACTTCTTAATGCCAAAAGCTGCCTTGGATGCTGGTTTGCTTCCAAGGCGCGCTTTGAAAGAGGGATGGAAGGCTCTAGATGATCCTGAAATCTCTGCGCTCAAGATGCTCTTAGTTAAGACACGGGGTGAGATTTGGTGTCAGCAAAAGGATACTGGGGTCAAAGTAGATGGTGCAAAGTTGGGGTGAGTGGGGAAGGCTTCAGATGATTGCAAGAATCTGACTCTTCTAGGCCTCAGTTTCCTCATACATATAGTGGGGCTAACAGCCTCCTTCCGAGTGAGGATGTGGGGAGATAATATGAGAGTAAAGTGTTCATCCTCAAATCAGGCAGAGGGTAAGTGATTAAAAAACAAGAGTCGAGCCGGGCGCAGTGGCTCACGCCTGTAATCCCAGCACTTTGGGAGGCTGAGGCAGGCGGATCACCTGAGGTCAGGAGTTTGAGACCAGCCTCAACATGGAGAAACCCTGTCTCTACTAAAAATACAAAATTAGCGGAGCATGGTGGTGCATGCCTGTAATCTCAGCTACTCTGGAGGCTGAGGCAGGAGAATTGCTTGAACCTGGGAGGCGGAGGTTGTGGGGAACCGAGATCGCGCCATTGCACTCCAGCCCGGGCAACAAGAGCAAAACTCCGTCTTAAAAAAAAACAAAAAACAAAAAAAAAAACAAGAGCCGCTGTCGATGTTATTGCTGGTGGTTTTATTATCATTGGCTGGGTCGGCAAGGTCACCTTGGCTGCAGGTGGCCTACAGTGGGAGAAAAAGTTAAAATCCTATCTGGGTGACATTATTAATAATTTGTGGACAGGCGGCTGCTCCAGCTCAAGATGGTAACCATGCCAACATTGCAAATGCCATCTCTCCAGAACAACATCACGTCTCCTTTGTAATATGTCCCTTGGTGTCCAGACTTCTCAGCAGCTCAGAGTAAGTGTCTCAGAGTATCCATGAGTGGAAAAACAAAAAACAAAAAAACAAAAAAACCAGGATGTGCCTTTTCTGGGTCATCTATTCACTGGGCTCTGGTGGAGGGTTCTGGCAATGCTTTAGAAATGCAGTCCCACGTGAGGAGCAGTCGTGACCACTAGCTCAGGGTGGGATGCAAGTGAGGAATTTTTTTTTTTTTTTTGAGCCTTGTTGTCCAGGTTGCACTGCAATGGTGTGATCTCGGTTCACTACAACCTCTGCCTCCGGGATTCAAGCGATTCTCCTGCCTCAGCCTCCTGAGTAGCTGGGATTACAGGTGCCTGCCACCACGCCCAGCTAATTTTTTGTATTTTTAGTACAGATGGGGTTTCACCATGTTGGTCAGGCTGGTTTCAAACTCCTGTCCTCAGGTGATCCACCCACCTTGGCCTCCCTAAGTGCTGGGATTACAGGCATGAGCCAACATGCCTGACCTTTTTTTTTTTTTTGAGATGGAGACTCACTCTGACGCCCAGGCTGGATGGAGTGCAATGGTGCGATCTCAGCTCACTGCAACCTCTGCCTCCCGGGTTTAAGCAATTCTCCTGTCTCAGCCTCCTGAGTAGCTGGGATTACAGGCGCATACCAACACACCCCGCTAATTTTTGTATTTTTAGTAGAGACAGGGTTTTGCCAAGTTGGCCAAGGTGGTCTCGAACTCCTGACCTCAGGTGATCCACTCGCCTTGGCCTCCCAAAGGGTTGGGATTACAGGCATGAGCCACCACGGCTGGCCAGTTTTTCTTTTTTAAAAATATTTTTTGTAGTCTCAACTACTCGGGAGGCCAAGGCAGGAGAATTGCTTGATGAACCTGGGAGGCAGAGGTTGCAGTGAACTGAGATCATGCCACTGCACTCCAGCCTCAGTGACAGAGACAGACTTCATTAAAAAAAAAAAGAAAAAAAAAATATAAAATGTGTGTGTGTGTGTGTGTGTGTGTGTGTGTGTGTGTGTGTATTTTGTTTTCTGTAGAACTGGGGTTTTGCCATGTTGCCCAGGCTGGTTTTGAACTCTTGGCCTCATGTGATCCTTCCACCTCGGCCTCCCAAAGCTCTGGGATTACAGGCATGAGCCACTGTGCCAGGCTATTGGTCCCTTTTTACAAGTGACTTGCCGGAGGGTACTCAGCTGGTGCACTGGCAGGGTAGGATTCGAACCCAAGACAAGAACCACGTTCTTTCTCAAATCACACCACACACGTGTGTTCAGGAACCCGGGGGGGGGGGCGGTTTGTTCTGTTCCCCGAGTGAGACCCTGTACCAGGTGAAGACCCAGACTTGGCTCCTCTACTGGGGACCTGCTCTGAGCCCTGAGGCAACAAAGTGTGTTTGACATTAACCATTGACCTCCCTCACCTCACTCAGGTGCTGTCTTTGACGTTGTTCAAAGGCCCTGTTTATCGATAGGACGTAGAGCCTTGGGAGTAGGTGACCTGTCGCAGGTGGTGACCCTGATTTTTATTGATGAGGCTCTTGGGCGTTAGCAACTCTCTCCCAAGGGCAAAGAAGATGTGTGCTGGTAAGAGTGTGTAGGCCACATGGTGGGAGGCTTATGTATGCTTTGTATAATCTGAGTGACCCCAACAGGGAGTCACACTTTGAGCTCTTCTCAGCTGACACCACGGGGCAGTGTGAGGCCCTCAGACTTGGGTGTCTGATGGATCTGAGTTTGAATCCTTGCTTTGCCCATTCCCAGCTGTGTGACTTTGTTTAAACCATGGGACAGCTCTGTGTCAGTTTGCTTATCTGTAAAACGGGAAGGAGGCCGGGCTCAGTGGCTCACGCCTGTAGTGCCATCACTTGGGAGGCCGAGGTGGGTGGATAGCTTGAGTACAGGAGTTCAAGACCAGCCTGGGCAACATGGCAAAACCCTAGCTCTATTAAACAAACAAATTTTAAAAACTGGCTGGGCGCAGTGGCTCATGCCTGTAATCCCAGCACACTGGGAGGCCGAGGCAGGAGGTACATTTGAGGCCAGGAGTTCAAGACCAGCCTGGCCAACCTGGTGAAATCTCTATTAAAAATACACACAAAAAAATTAGCTGGGCTTGGTGGTGCATGCCTGCAGTCCTAGCTACTCGGGAGGCTGAGGCAGGAGAATAGCTTGAACCTGGGAGGCGGAGATTGCAGTGAGCCAAGATTGTGCCACTGCACTCCAGTCTGGGCAACAGAGCGAGACTCCATCTCTTAGAGAAAAAAACAAACCAAAAAAAAGACTAAAAAATCCATTTAACAGATGAGGCACAAGAGTTTAAATAATTTTCTCTGAAAAAATTAGCTGGGTGCGGTGACGTGCGCCTTGTAGCCCCAGCTACTTGGGAGGCTGAGGCAGGAGGATCGCTTGAACCTGGGAGGCGGAGGTTGCAGTGAGCTAAGAGAGCACTATTGCACTCCAGCCTGGGTGAATGGGTGAGACTCTATCTCAAAACAAAACAAAAGCCAACAAACAAAAAAACAGGAAAGGAAATCGGACCAGCCTTACAGGGGTATCTTGAGGGAAAAAAAAATGCACGTTTCTGCAAAGCACCTTGCCTGGTACTAGGAACATGGTAGATGGTTCCTTAGAGTGCATGAGGATGGGGTCACCAAGGATAGGGCAGTGTGTGAAGAGGGCTCGGGACAAAGCCCTGAGGAACCCTAGTATTTTGGGGTAGGCTAGAAGACAAGCCCATACAGCAAATAGAAGAGCAATGGCCGGAGCAGCAGAAGGGAAGCTGGGAGAGTCGGTCAAGGAAGGGTGAGCAGTCGTGCCCAGTCCAGCCAAGAGGGCCAGGGAGGTGGGCACTATGAAACCTCCTTGGCTTTGACAACAAGGAGGGCTCTGATGGCCACGGTGGAGGAGTAGGGACAGGGTGAGAGCACACTGAGCTGATGGGTGGGTAGGAGGTGAGGAAGAGGAGATGAGGAAGTTTGGTGAGAAGAAAAGCTTCATGGGAGAACCAGAGTGTCCTTTACACATGTCAGAAATCAATTATTTAGAATGCTCCAGCTCTACCTAATTTTCACTGTTTTGAAATCAATCTTAGTCCAACCTCATCAGAAAAGCTGGAAGGGCTCTAAGCCCTCTAAGAGCTAGAAGGAACCGAGGAGGTCCCCCCATCCAGGGCTGGCCCTCCTCCCATCTCTCACTGGGACCCCATCCTTATGGGGGGTGGAGTGGATGATTCATTACTATCTAGCATGCTCTTTAAATATATTCACTAGGGGAAAGATTAGCCTGGTTTGTTAACCTCGATTCCAACAGCAAAAGTGACTCTTCAAAGCATGGTGAAGCCTGGGGTAGTGGCCTCCTCCTAGACCCACATTCAAATCCTGTTTCATGGGCCCCCAGAAGTGTGATCGTTTCAGCATCATAGCAGGAAGAGGAAGGCCTGGGAGGCAGGAAACCTGGTATGGAGACCCCAGCTCTGCTCACTCGCTGTGCAAACTAGGGCCAGCCCCTCCTTTCCCTCAGACCTCAGTTTCCCGTTATTCAGGATAAGGGGTTAGACAGGGGTGATTCTAAGGGTCCTGCCAGCTCTGACATTTCAGCATGTGGATATCTATTCTAAAGTCCTTGAAACAGTTAAGTCCAATTCTCCAGATGGAAAACAGGTCCAGAAAAGGCCTGGTCTCCAGTTCCCTCCCTTCTCCCTTCGAACATGTCTTACTCTCTAGAGCAAGATTCCAGGCCTGAAATATGGCTTCCCAATTACCTAAGGATGAAGCCTCAAATCTTTGGCCTGGCATTTAAAAGACTCCGTAATCTTGTTTTACCCAACCTCACTTCCCATTCTTAGGCCTCTCTTCTCACCATCTCCCAGGTCACTGCCAAGCCTTTGCCAATGCTGTACCCCAGGCCTTAATCTTTTTCCTGACTCTCCTTCAAGATCCAGCTTATCCCTGTGGGCTGAGCATGCAGTAGATGCTCAATAAAATTCTCAGCGAGCCCAAGGCCCCCTCTCCTGCACTGCCCTTGGCGTGTTGAAATCAAGTGGGGGCCTTGTTTTAATCATCATTTTCCTAGCTTGTCGGGCAGCCCAGTCCAGGGCCTGGCACAAGGGACCCTCAGCATCCAATACCAGCCAGGATTGGGAGGGGCTCAGTGACCAGCCAGTTGGGCCACCCCAGCTCTTTGCCACAAGAGAAAGTTCAGCCTGGGTTTGGACTCAGATCCTGGCCCCACCACTTACAGGCTGCGTAACCCTGAGCAAGTCACTAACCTCGCTTTTCCTCAGGTTCCACGTTTTAAATATGGGGAGACCAGCTGTGCCCACTGTGGGCTGGGTAGTGAGGATTAAAGAGGAGGATGCTTGTACGGGACTAGCACTGGGCTGGCTCCTAATGTGTCCTGAATATTACTTGTCCCGCCCTGGCCACCCAGTCCCCTCCTCTGGTGGAAGGCACAGCCTGCCCAAGGCTACGTCTCAGGTTGGGTTCGATTGTGTGTGTCTGTGTAGCGGGGCTGTCCCCGAGGGTCGGACTCGATCCTGCCCGGACCAGTACAAGGTGTGGCCCAGCAGAACGCATGGACAGGCAGGGCTCGGGGCGGGCGGGACGGCTGGGGCGGGGCTGGGCGGACCCGCCCCTCGGGGCACGCGGTCTCCCGGCTTCTCCGCCAGTATGTTTGCTTGCTTTTGGGGCCCTTCTCAAGCCAGATCTCTAACGTGGATGGAGTGGCGCGTTTCAGGGTGGGGCTATGACAATGCACTGCCTGTGCAGCCGCCATCACCGCGCCCCCTCCACCGGCTCCGCAGTCTCCTGCCCGGCTTTCCCTTCTCCACCTCCATCTCTGCGGCGGTAAAATGCAGCACTCGCAGAGCGCCTGCGCGGCTTTCAGGCCGGGCGGCGGCGGCGGCGGTGGCTATTTATAGTAGGTGACGTCACCTTGAAATAGACCGTTAGGGCCGGCCCGCCCTTCCCCCCTCCCACTCCCGCCGCTCCCCGCCGCCCGGCCTGGCCACTCTCACTGCGCAGGCGTCGTCCCGTCCTCCCATCCCCCAGCGCGGCCGCGTCTCCTCCCTCGGCGTTGTCCGCGGCGCGAGCCACAGCGCGCGGGGCGAGCCAGCGAGAGGGCGCGAGCGGCGGCGCTGCCTGCAGCCTGCAGCCTGCAGCCTCCGGCCGGCCGGCGAGCCAGTGCGCGTGCGCGGCGGCGGCCTCCGCAGCGACCGGGGAGCGGACTGACCGGCGGGAGGGCTAGCGAGCCAGCGGTGTGAGGCGCGAGGCGAGGCCGAGCCGCGAGCGACATGGGGGACCGGGAGCAGCTGCTGCAGCGGGCGCGGCTGGCCGAGCAGGCGGAGCGCTACGACGACATGGCCTCCGCTATGAAGGCGGTGAGCGCGCCGGGAGCCCGGGCGGCTGGCCGGGGGGGGCCTGGCGTTGGGGAGGGACGGGGATGGCCGCGGGCGCGTTCCCCTCCCGGCCATGGGCGACCCGGCGACCCGGCTGGGCGTGGCCGCCCGCCCGCCCTTAGCCCGCGCTTCCCGCTCCCGCTGGGCGCCCCGCCACTTCCTGAGGCTGGGCCCAGGGTGGGGGATCCGGGAGGGTGCAGTTCGGGATCGCGAAGGCAGCCCCGGAAGGGGGGCGGGCCGGTCGGGGTCGCCACATCTTAGTTCGGAACCCGGCCGGGGGCAGAGGGTGCCCTAGGGGACGCGAAGGAGCCGCATTTCTCCTAGAGCGTTTCACCGGACCCGGGGGCTCCCCCTCTCGTCTTCCTCCGTTCCCCAACTTGGAATAAAGAATCACCTAGTAAGTGGCGCCCTGTCTCAGCTGGTTTTCTCTGCCACGACCTGAAGTCTGCAATTCCGATCTGTTTTGCTCTGCTCGTTCGAATTGTTCTGGTTCCATCTTCCCACGCCTGGGGGTCTGGCTTTGTGTGCGAAGACCCCTTTCCTGCAGTCTAGGCGTGGACGGGGGCGGGAGAGTGGGCGGAGGGTGTGGGGCCCCACTCCACAGCCCCAGGTTTGCTGCTGCGCTGTCTGCTTGGAGATTAAAATGAAACGTGACTTCTAGGTGAGACGAATCTGTGTGTCTTTGCATTCCTGAGACCCTCATAAATCGATTCTGCAGCTTCTCCGGTGGATGAGTCGTGCCCAGCCACACCCTAGCAAAATACCGTGGGTCACACACCACCTGCATTTCTGAGTTCCGGTTACCATCTCACTCTCTCTCCACGTTATTTTACGTTTTCTGTAAATGAATATTTCCTCTCCCTGCGTCAAGGTCACACAGTGGTAGAACAACTGCGACCACCAACCTATGTTCAGTGTACAACCTCCTGAGACCTGGGAGGATCCCCTTGAACTCCGCCTTAGACCTATACATTCAGAAATTCGGGCGGTGAGACTCAGACATCTGCATTGTAACCAGCTCTCACAGGCGATTTTTAGCTGGCTTAAGTCTGAGAATTACTGCCCATGATTATAGTAAATGTATCCTTTGCTGGCCTTTTGGAGGGAGTTCCGAAAAAAAACTGCCAATACAAAGGCTCCCTAAAATCTTAAGTCATTTGGAAAGCTCATTTGAAGGCTTTTGATGTTAATATCAGATGAAATATGTAGTTGGGGCCAATATTTAGGATTGTTCAGGTAAGAAAGGTGCTTGAAGAGTTGCCTTTCCTCTGGTGTCCTTGTTACACACATAACTGGGTGTGTTTGGAAACCAGCAACACCGTTGCCCGTATGTTGATTTGTTGGTGATCTTGACTTGAGCACTATTAGCATGCTGTTGTGGTGAGGCAGGTTTTCTTCCAGACCGGGGGACGGTCTAGGTCTGGAGGCTGAACTTTATGTAATTCAGGGGGTCCTTTAAAAGAAAATCTAAAATATAGTTTTGCATATTTTACAAAAATGGGACTGACGAATGCATTTCCTTGGAAGGGACCCTGAACCTTAATTTTCTGTGGGATAAAGCTGCCTCTGTCCACAGCAGGTCACACTTAAGCCCCTCCTCCCCAGTAACTGAGTGGTGCTGGGATTATGCAGGCTGAGGCCTCTCCACACATTTTCATGAAGTGGTTGCTCACCCTCTAAGTGAGACGTAAAGACTGCAGTGTTCGGAGCCCTTTGGGAAATAAATGTGGTGAAAAGAAAGGAGGGACGAGGTTTAAAGGAAGGGGAAATGGAGGTTAAGGAAAAATGGCTAGAAGGTGTGTTCTGGAACAATCAGAAACCTGAGGCAACTTGAAATGGGGGAAAAAGGCAAGAATGGAGAGATGTTACCAGAACGAAATCTAGTTTGAGCAGAGAAAAAGACTGGCTTTCTAGTAGGCTTGTAAAATGCTTTCCTGCAGCAAGCTACTTGTGTCCATAGATCTTCTCTGGAGGGTTAAGGTAGCCTTTTGTAAACCAAAGGAATCTATAATATCTATATTTGAAATAATTAATGAGTTGGAAAAGCCACCCAGCGTAGAAGAGTCAATCCAAGCTTTAATTCTGCCATCTCAGAATGGTGATAAACCATTTCTCCCCCATCATCTAAATGGAATATATTGTGCTTATAGGTATTTTCTTTAAAAGAAAAAAAAGAATATATTGGAAGGGACTGGCAGGGGTCACTTTCCCTGCTAACTTGGTGTTTGTAGATTAAATTCTTAATGTTACTGGGATGACTCAGTCTCTATGTTATTAATCTCATCAGCCTTAACTAAGGCTTTTGGAAAGGGTGTAAGTTTCAGTAACCCTCTGGGTTTACCTGGGCTTTCTTCAGGGCTGGGGAAGGGCAGGTAAGTAGCCTGCTGTAGGGAGGATGGAGCAGGACACATGTGTTAAGGATATATTCTGATGCCACCAGTCTGTAACCTTGAAACTTACATCTTGGCTTTAGGTCCTCTGAAGTATAAAACTAGTGATGTTGCTGTTATTAACAAGTCAGTTTTGCCTTCAGTCTTCTAACTTGTTTTCTGTTTCCTTCATAATTAAAATGCTCACTTGATAATACTGCCTTCCTGTAATGATTGATGTTCCTCATTCTACCAGCGTCACCTGGAGGACAGTGTTGGTAAGCTTGAAGAAAAATCGTGCATACTGGAAACAATGGTCTTGCCTCAAACCTGTTGAGAACTTCTCTTCCCTGCTTCTCTCCATAATTTGAAGAAGCAAGAAATGTTTCTGAAGTGAAGCATAAAGGAGTATCTTCAAGCTCTATCTCATACCTACCAGCTTGCATAGAGTATAATAGTGGGAAGAAATATTGTGAAAGATTCTAGAACCTAAGTCCTTTCTAGGCTAGGCAATTCTAGGCTACACAATTCGTAGTCTCTGTAAATACCATTTGATAACTGAAATAAACCTATAAAGTGGGATTAAATGTTAGTCCAGAAGACTAAGTGATTTAAGGAAAGAGGGAAAATAACCAGATAGATTTCTGGTGGATATTCATAGACAGACATAATTTCATCATGTATTATGGCCCTAAGTCATCTATTTTATATTAAAACATAGATGGTAACTGTAAAGTTATCAAATGTAAAAATTACTGGGCTAGCATTGTGTTTTAACACTGATACACCAGTTGATTACAGTGTTGACAGAAAACGGGCAGAAACACGTTTAAAGTACCTGCAGAATATATATATAGAAATCTTTTTTTTTTAATCAGTGTTGACCAGGTTGGCCTCGAACGTGTAGCCTCACCTCCCCGAGTGCCAGGGCAACCGGCCTGAGCCACAGCGGCTCCCTAGAAATCTTAAGTGCAGGAAACAAAACTACAGTTTAAGGAAACAGGAGTCGGAGAGGAGGGGCATTTGGCCCAACCACTGGCAAAAGGCTGTTGTTGCAACAACTGTGAGATTCTGGGAAGTGGGGAAATGAGCAGGTGCTGTGTAAAAGTGCACAGCTGACTGCCCCAGGTGAGACAGATCAGTGTCACAGAGAGTAGGAGGATTTTGAGGTGTGATTAGTATTTTTTTTTTTTTTCTTAAAGAGATGGTCTCGTTCTGGAACCCAGGCTGGAGTGCAGTCGTGGCACGATCATAATTCACTGTAGCCTTGAGCTCCTGGGCTCAAGTGAACCTCCTGAGCAGCTGGGACTACAGATGCATGCCACCGTGCCCAGCTAATTATTAAATTGTATAGACAGGATCTCTATATGGTACCCAAGTTGGTCTCAAACTCCTGGCCTCAAGCAGTCCTCCTGCCTCAGCCTATTAAAGTGCTGGGATTACAGGAGTGAGCTACCACACCCAACCAGTAGGAAATCTTAAAGCCACATTGATACTACAGTTTGAAATATGTAAAAACTAGGGAGCTATGTTTCCCACTAACTGGGCATTTAAAATGTAATCGTCTTTGAGGAAGGAAGAAGGCTCTGGATTATTCTTGTAATAGTTTGAATTTAAAAGGTCCTTTCAGGTGGGCAAACAGCTTACGTGGCTTTCTTGCACTGAAATAGAAACTGTAGTCCCCATGTGGGTTTGGGTCCCTGAATTATCCCCAGAAGAACTTCCACAGTCCGGAACTGACTCCCTTAAAGAAACCAAAAATGTATTTTCTTTGGTGGGGATTTTCTTTAGTTGGTCTTTGTCTGGGATTTTATATCAGTGACAGACTGTAGCGTCACACTTTTCCAGAAATACGGTTTCGGAGAGGGTACCCCTAACGTTTTATGTGTGTGTGTGTTACATTTAGCAAGTTTATATAACATATTTTACTTTTTTTTTTTTTTTTTTTTTTGAGACAGTTTCGCTCTTGTTGCCCAGGCTGGAGTACAATGGAGCAATCTCGGCTCTCTGCAACCTCTGCCTCCCGGGTTCAAGCAATTCTCCTGCCTCAGCCTCCCAAGTAGCTGGGATTACAGGCATGCACCACCATGCCATGCCCGCCTAATTTTGTATTTTTAGTAGAGATGGGGTTTCTCCATGTTGGTCAGGCTGGTCTTGAACACCCGACCTCAGGTTATCCACCTGCCTCGGCCTCCCAAAGTACTGGGATTACAGGCGTGAGCCACTGCGCTTGGTTAGAACTTATTTAACTTTTTAGGCACTTGGTAAACGGTAGCTGTTAGTCCATGTGTACTTTTTTTTTTGGTGGGGGGGGGAGTCATGCTCTGTCACCCAGGCTGGAGTGCAGTGGCAGGATCTTGGTTCACTGCAAGCTCCGCCTCCTGGGTTCACGCCATTCTCCTGTGTCAGCCTCCCAAGTAGCTGGGACTACAGGTGCCCGCCACCTTCCATGTGTACATTCTTGTTTAACAATTCAGGATAGGTACTGTTACTCCCCTTTACAAATGAGACTTTCAGAGGTTGATTTTCTCATGGTCAAACAGCTAGTAAGTTGTGAATTCAAGATTCAAACTCAAATTTAGAGCTCTCATTTTAACCACTATGTAACAATGCCCCATGAGGCAAAGGGATAATATGTCTAGTATACATTCTGGTATATTAACCATTGTCAGCACTGGTGACTGAAATCCAAGAACTCTTCATAAGTGGGCTTACTAAACAAATAATTTTATCTGTTGGGTGCAAGTCATTTTTTTTTTCCAAATACGATTAAGAACAATCTGCCATTTATGGGTTTTAGCTACAACAGAGAAACATAAGAGGGAAACTCACATATCTGGATTTTGCTTGTTCTGAAGGCTTGGAGGCCTTTTTTTTTTTTTTTTTTTTTTTTTTTTTTTTTTTTTTGCTTAACAAAGTATTGAATTTGAGTTTCTCCTGAGTTAAGAAGTGCAGGACTATGTTACATTTTATTTGGGGTATTTTAAGAAATTATTTCATATTCTTGGCACCAGTTGTTTCTCCATATTGCCTTTAATGTATTTTTCTCCCTGCACCCTTTAGTATATTTTTATGCAGGCCCCAAAATTTCTGTCTCTAGGTTGCTGGTAAAATTCCTCCTAGTGTCCAAGTGGAGGCAGCTTGTCTTCTGTCCCAGCATTTTGGTGCTCCTCCCGCCCCTACTCCTGGCTGCAGTGGCATTCCCTTCTGCGGTGGTGAGTGTTAGCACTTCCAATGATCCGAACCTGGCACAGCTTCTGAAGCCTTCAATTCGGATGCCTCTAGGGACAGTAGCATGCAGTAATGCCATTCAGATGGTGTTGTATTTAATCCTTGCCAATCCCCATGAAAATGTTCAGTTATGTCAAAAGCAAGGCAAAAACAGTCTCTTGGCTATACAAGGGTAGCTGTTTTATTTGACTAAAATTTAGCTTAGAGTGGATGTTACTTACCCGAACTTGCCTGCTCTGAGCTTGAAGTTTAGCCTATTTGTGGTCTTACAGAATTGCAGCCTCATCCTGGTGAGGATAAGGGGCTCAGCCTGACCCTGGCTGGTGATGTTCTTGCCCAGTGGCCTGTAGGACTTGGTCTGTTGGTGGATATCTTTCCAGCTTGGGGCAGGCCAGGCAAGATCCTCACTTCCTAAGCATTAACTTGGGAAAGAGCTCAGCAAGCTTTCATCCCTCTAGCTCATTTTTTGTTTTTTTGAGACAGAGTCTTGCTCTGTCGCCCAAGCTGGAGTGCAGTGGCACAGTCCTGGCTCACTGCAACTTCCACCTCCTGGGTTCGAGCGATTGTCATGTCCCACCCAAGTAGCTGGGATTACAGGTGCACGCCACCATGCCCAGCTAATTTTTGTATTTTTAGTAGAGATGGGGTTTCTCTATATTGACTGGGTTGGTGTCGTACTCCCTGGCCTCAAGTGATCCGCCTGCCTTGGCCTCCCAAAGTGCTGGGATTACAGGTGTGAGCCATCACACCTGGCCCCTCAAACCCTCAAACTGACTTTTCTCACACAGACACACACACATACACGTACACACACACTTCTGCCAAAGAAGCTTAAAGGTTTTATGATGTGGTTATGTTTACTTAATCATGAGAATCATTTACTCATATCAAAAGCAAGCTGGTTGATAGCATGTAGGTGTGGGTAGCTATAAAGGATGAGCCCATAGCATGTGTGGAGCTGTGAAGGATGGCAGCATATTCGAGTGAGGTAGCATTACCCCTAACTTAGGCAGCTATGGCCTGGCAGCTCGGGGGTGGCATTTTTGTTTGCTCAGTGTTACTTTTGATGTTGGATGTTTCCCAGATTGAGAACTTTAAATTTTCCTAAATAGTCCCTGTACTGTTTTTGGCAGTGGATCTATTTTTACTCACACACATAGTTTTTTGCCTTGTGAGTAGTGGGTGGAGGCCCTTAGGGGTTTTTGGGTAAATGAATAGTGTCATAGGAAGATAAGTGAATGATCAGCAGGCCAGGTCATTTTTGACATTTAGTAATGTTGGGGGTAGTCCTGGAGCAGAGAAAATGTGTGAAGTGAGTGCCCTGGGGTGGGGACTAGGTGTAGCCAAAGGCTGTTTGGTCAGGACGTGAGTAAAACTGGCTGACAGGGAAGTCCAATCCTTAAAAGAAATGGAGAGGAGGGCCTTTGTGCATGGGAAGAGCCCATCAGTTTAAGGTTGTCCTTCAGGAAGGGTGTAAGTAGGATTACAGAGGGTGGGAAGGCAGGCAGGACACCTAGAAAGCAGAGAGGCTGTGAGCAGGGGTGGCGAAACCCCTGGTTTGTGGCCCGGTGAAGACTCAGTGCCTAGTGTGGCTACACTGAGGGAAGGTGCCGTGTGGCAGAAATGACTGTTGTAATCTTGGTGTTAGAGCGGAAAGAGGCTGAAAACTATTGTCTAGGCCTGTCTGTAAAATTCTGTCTTGTTGTTGCTTCATGTTCCTGATTTGTGGAGATGCAGCAAATGTGATTTCATTAGATTTTGCAGATGATCTTAGGTAGCATGGTCGGGGCCTGGAGAGCATCCATTACTCTGTGTTGCCACCCGGTGTTTGCCTCTCAGTACAGTTTATGACTGAACTTTTCATTAGTTCTCCTGGCTCCTGTATTTTGGTATTTGAAGTGTTGGGAACTGGTGCTAAGTATCATCCATCAAGATTGGCTATCCATCTTTTTGTTTTAATGGACTGTCTGATTTTACATGGGTCTATAATTTTCCAGTCTGGGAAAAACTCAGTTTTCTTTAGTTATCTGGTCAAGTAGTAAGCCATCTTCATTTCATGTTTCCTTTTGTTAACTGAATTATAACCCAGGAGTATTAAAAAATACTGTATTTAAATGTATCCAGTTATTTCCTAGTTAGGCTCTGGCTGGGGTATTAGGAACAATATTTGCTTGCTGAGATATGTTAGTCACCCTCAGCTAATGCTGATAGTGATTCATTCAGACTGGCAGGCAACCAGATGATTTTTACATAAACACTAATACTCCCAGTAAATGATTTTTCTTGTGAAGGTGTCATCATAAATACTGCCCAGTAGCCTTTTTTGGCAGCTTATTCCTGATGGAGAAAGAATATGCTTACAGATACACCCAAACTTCACGTTAGTAGGAAGCCCTGCCACACCTTTTATTGGTGCACAGGAAAAACGAAATCATGGAACATTGGAGCTGAAGGAGGCCTTGGAGATCATTTGGGCTAATCCTGCTTATTTTACTTTGGATGTCCAAAAAGGTTGTGATTTGTTTAAGGTCACATAGCTAGCTCAGACTAAACTTCAGATGTCTTGGGTTTAATAATTATACCGCCTTTTGTGTTATGCAAGCATTCTGTATTATACATACATGTATTTCAGATTTGTACTCACTTTAAATGATATACTCTGGGAAGTTACCTTGGTGTATCTTTGCCAGTTTCACAGAAGCAGCTTTGTTAGTCACAGGAGGAAGTATATTGTGACTCCTTATGGATATTATTTGTATTTTAATGCCAAATGGCCTTAGTTTAATTACTACAAGATGAAAGGAGCTCTCCAAATTCTGTTGTTGCCTTATGCTTTGTTTTATTGAATATTGCTCTAGAAACGCAAGTCATTCTAGAGGATTCAAGCATTCTGAAATTTATCAGAATATTTGGGATGGAATTTTGATTCAGAAGTGTTGTTCGTTAAAAGACTAAGTAGTTACTCATCTTTTTGTAGTTCATAAGTGTGATGATTGGGTTTTGACATGCAGGTGTGAGATGTGCCACCCTCAAACCTTGTTACAACATAGACATGTGACCCTCTGATGTGGGCAAAAAAAGACTAAGTTATTAAATATTTACAAAGTCTCTATTTTCCGTAAGAAAATGTATGTAAGTGTTTAAAGGCACTTACTGGAGGAGGAAACTAGTGGGGTTATAGGTGTTCAGCTGGATTTAAGGGGAGCATGGATTGTAGATTCATGGTAGACTGGGGCAGATCACAGTGAGAGGTATGGAGACTACTAATGAATATGTGAGGATGAATAATGAGAACCCTGGCTTGACCAGAGTGGAGGCAGCACCCCTGGGGAATGGTCAGGATAGCTGTTAGCCAAAGACCACACTGAAGAAAGAAGTGGGTAGGCAAAGGAGAGACTTTGCCTGTGTTAAGGGTTTGTAGCAGAAGAGTAGGGGTCCTGGGGACAGGGAAATGGAGAAATTAAGAGTGAGCTGGTATTTTTATTTTGTCTGGGGCTTGGGGGTAGGGAGGACTCAGACAATTGCTTGTTTTACTTTGTGAGAACTTGGCACGTTTTCTGATTTTTACCTGTAATAATGATTACACTTGCTGCTTATGTCCTTGAACCACTAATTCCCCAAATAAACCATCATTGTTCATGATTTCTGATACTCCACTGCTCAGTCTTCTCAATCCATTTTAAGTGTGTCTATTTGAATATGCTATTGATAACTTTCCCCAATGAACTTGGCCTTTTCCCTCTGGAGGTTCTGTCCTTACAGATTGGTTTAAGTAATACCTTTTTTGTTTAGTGTTTTATGGTTTCCTAAGTGCTTTGCTTTCTTTTTTTTCATTATTGAAATTAAAGACCTTTTGGATAAGCAGAGACTGATTTAATAAAATTAAAGACCTTTACCAGTAGGTCATATTAAGGAATCCCTCTACTTTAGACGACACACCATCTTTTAAGGGCTTGTGAAATGTCCTGGGTCAATTTAGGAAGTCATTTTCTTTGCTTGGGCCCAGACCAACTCTGTTAGCAACTCTGTTAGGAACTCTTGTTAGGAAACTCTGTTAGTTTCCTAGGGGGTGCTGAACCTAGTACGACAAACTGGATAGTTTAAAATAATAAATGTATTCTCTCATAGTTCTGGACGCTAGAAGTTTGAAAGTGAGGTGTAGGCAGGCCACGCTCCCTCTGAAGGCTCTAGGGAAGAATCCTTCCTAGGCACTCTCCCAGCTTCTGGTGGCTTCTGGCAACCCTTGGTGTTCCTTGGCTTGTAGATGCGTCACTCCAGTCTTTGCCTCCACTGTCACATGGCATTCTTCCTGTGTGTGTGTCAAAATCTCACTATCCTTATAAGGACACCTGTAATTGCACTTAGGGCACACCCTAATGTCCAGTATGACTTCATCTTAACTAATTACATCTGCAAAGACCCTATTTCCAAATAAGCTCACATTCACAGGAACCTAGGGTCAGAACTTCAGCGTATCTTTTGGCGGGGGATACAGTTCAACCACTGCAAAGTCTAATAATGCTCTTCCTACTAACTGCATAGCTAGTTCACTTGTAGTTGGCATCATGGAGAACTAAGGGAAGTTAAAGCTTGTGAAATTTAACTCTTCCACTTAAAATAATTGATGCTTCCATCCTTGATGACCAGAGTTTCCTGTGAGGTAGGTCAGAGTACAACTTCCTGCTGAGTAGCTGTGCTTCCTTTCACTAGGAGCTGGGGGTACTTTCATGTCACTTATGAATTGTTCTTCATTTTGGTTTGGGAGAGGGCTGGGAGTATCAGTTAGGGTTCCATGTGTAGCCACACAGGGCGAAGCTCTGGCCACTGGATCTGTGTGATGTTCCATCTGATCTGTGAAGCCCCACCATCTGTTAATGTGTATTTGAGGAGTGGTTGGTTCTTTCCAGAGTATAAAGCTGGAAGCAGAGTCTGGAACACTTCCAGTCTGTTGTCTTTGAACATTTGACAAAGGGACCGTACGATCTTACTGTTCAGAGTATCTTTTTTTTTTTTTTTTTTTTCTTTTGAGACGGAGGCTTGCTCTGTCGCTAGCTAGGCTGGAGTGCAGTGGCACGATCTGGGCTCACTGCAACCTCCGGGTTCAAGAGTTTCTCTTGCCTCAGCCTCCCAAGTAGCTGGGACTACAAGCGCGTGCCACCACGCCCAGCTAATTTTTGTATTTTTAGTAGAGATGGGGTTTCACCATGTTGGCCAGAATGGTCTCGATCTCTTGACCTCATGATCTGCCCGCCCTTGGCCTCCTGAAGTGCTGGGATTACAGGCATAAGCCATCGCGCCCGGCCTGTTCAGAGTATCTTTTGCAGAATGGCTGAAGCTCGAGGTTTTCTTCTTCACCATTATGTACTGCTGCTGTACAACCTTTTCATAATTATCCTTAGTCCCATTCCTCTACCAAGGTGAAAGCAACATCTTATCAGACCCGAATTATGAATTTCTCAAGCCCCTATGATTTTCTGTTTTGGGTGCCAAGTATTTATCTCTTCTGTTAGACTATAGTCTTTCTTCACATAGGGTTCATGTCTATATTGGTTTTATCCATGGGTGGTTTTTATTCTCCAGAGTGACTGACCTGTTCGTAATTCCGTTCTTGAGAAGGATTGTTGATTATGTTGAAGGGAAGGCTTCTTACCAAGATTTTCAGATTTTGCTTTCAATGTTTATCTTTTTGGGGTTTTGCAGGTGACAGAGCTGAATGAACCTCTCTCCAATGAAGATCGAAATCTCCTCTCTGTGGCCTACAAGAATGTGGTTGGTGCCAGGCGATCTTCCTGGAGGGTCATTAGCAGCATTGAGCAGAAAACCATGGCTGATGGAAACGAAAAGAAATTGGAGAAAGTTAAAGCTTACCGGGAGAAGATTGAGAAGGAGCTGGAGACAGTTTGCAATGATGTCCTGTCTCTGCTTGACAAGTTCCTGATCAAGAACTGCAATGATTTCCAGTATGAGAGCAAGGTGTTTTACCTGAAAATGAAGGGTGATTACTACCGCTACTTAGCAGAGGTCGCTTCTGGGGAGAAGAAAAACAGTGTGGTCGAAGCTTCTGAAGCTGCCTACAAGGAAGCCTTTGAAATCAGCAAAGAGCAGATGCAACCCACGCATCCCATCCGGCTGGGCCTGGCCCTCAACTTCTCCGTGTTCTACTATGAGATCCAGAATGCACCTGAGCAAGCCTGCCTCTTAGCCAAACAAGCCTTCGATGATGCCATAGCTGAGCTGGACACACTAAACGAGGATTCCTATAAGGACTCCACGCTGATCATGCAGTTGCTGCGAGACAACCTCACCCTCTGGACGAGCGACCAGCAGGATGAAGAAGCAGGAGAAGGCAACTGAAGATCCTTCAGGTCCCCTGGCCCTTCCTTCACCCACCACCCCCATCATCACCGATTCTTCCTTGCCACAATCACTAAATATCTAGTGCTAAACCTATCTGTATTGGCAGCACAGCTACTCAGATCTGCACTCCTGTCTCTTGGGAAGCAGTTTCAGATAAATCATGGGCATTGCTGGACTGATGGTTGCTTTGAGCCCACAGGAGCTCCCTTTTTGAATTGTGTGGAGAAGTGTGTTCTGATGAGGCATTTTACTATGCCTGTTGATCTATGGGAAATCTAGGCGAAAGTAATGGGGAAGATTAGAAAGAATTAGCCAACCAGGCTACAGTTGATATTTAAAAGATCCATTTAAAACAAGCTGATAGTGTTTCGTTAAGCAGTACATCTTGTGCATGCAAAAATGAATTCACCCCTCCCACCTCTTTCTTCAATTAATGGAAAACTGTTAAGGGAAGCTGATACAGAGAGACAACTTGCTCCTTTCCATCAGCTTTATAATAAACTGTTTAACGTGAGGTTTCAGTAGCTCCTTGGTTTTGCCTCTTTAAATTATGACGTGCACAAACCTTCTTTTCAATGCAATGCATCTGAAAGTTTTGATACTTGTAACTTTTTTTTTTTTTTGGTTGCAATTGTTTAAGAATCATGGATTTATTTTTTGTAACTCTTTGGCTATTGTCCTTGTGTATCCTGACAGCGCCATGTGTGTCAGCCCATGTCAATCAAGATGGGTGATTATGAAATGCCAGACTTCTAAAATAAATGTTTTGGAATTCAATGGGTAAATAAATGCTGCTTTGGGGATATTATCTCTGTTTGGTCTTGATTTTTCCCCCCTCGAGGAACTGTTTAACCAGTCACAAATTGTGGTTTGAATCTCTCAAACATGGAAGCATTTGTAGTACATTATCCAAGTTTTCCTCCCCTCTCATTACATTACATATTTTGCAGCACACACATAGGATTCATAGATTTTAAATAGTTTTCTGTGAACCCAGCTAACATAGCCTCTCTGATCAATTTTCCTGATAACTGGTGCTTTTTAATGAGCCTCGCAGAACAAAATGCAGTCTTCCACAGTATAGCACCTCTGAAACATTGTGGGCTCTGTTGAACTTGAGAGTGTATTTAACACTGAAGGTAAATACGGAGCTTATACACGTCCTCAAGTTTTCTTAATGTAATAAGATACTAGGGGCACAACTTGCACCCCTGAAATCTTTAGTGATTATTGTTAAGCATTTAGTATTCTTTAAAATAGAAAAGCAAACCTCATTGAGTTAAAAAGCCTAACCTACCCCTTAAACACTTGCTTAACCCCAATGTGTCTCTCGAGCCTCAGCATCACTGGCTGACTGTTCTTGAGTGAGGTGGTTTCCAGCTCCTCACGATTTTTATCACCTCCAGAGTGGCACCTAGGAATGAACGTTTGTTAGGTGAGTTGGTTCAGTTACACAGAACCCTTAAACGCCTTTTTCTATTTGTTTGTTTTTTTGAGATGGAGTCTCGCTGTGTCATCCAGGCTGGAGTGCAGTGGCATGATCTCGGCTCACTGCAGCTTCCACCTCCCAGGTTCCAGCCATTCTCATGCCTCAGCCTCCTGAGTAGGTGGGATTACAGACGCCACCACCACACCAGGCTAATTTTTGTATTTTTAGTAGAGATGAGGTTTTGAGTGTTGGCCAGGCTGCTCTCAAACTCCTGACTTCATGTGATCCACCCACCTTGGCCTCCCAAAGAGCTGGGATTACAAGCGTGAGCCACCGTGCCCAGCCTTAAACACCTTCTTGACTAAAGTTTGGCATTAGACTGATGGAAATGGCCATGACACAATCTCTGTCCTTGAATTTATATTGTGGAGCACATAACTTGTAAGCATGTAAGTTTAACCTGTTTCTTATTCTGAAGTAGAGTATGAGCCCCGCCCCCCATGCCGGGGCCGATGAATACGGCTCAGGAAGCCTGTTTCAAGTTGACCTAATTTTAAGATAAAGTGGTTATTGAGTTTCACTTCAGTTAGTAGGTCAGGTATTTGAAAGTCAACAAGCTTTATATGGCTAATACTTGCTTTTGATAAGCACGTAGACAAAATGTTGCTGGGCCATGGTGGCGTGCGCCTGTAGTCCCAGCTGCTTGGGAGGATGGAGCCCGGGAGGTCGAGGCTGCGGTGAGCCGTGATTGCTCCACTGTACCCCAGCCTGGGAGATAGGAAGACCTTTTTTTCTCTCTCTCTCTGTCTCTGATAGCAAGACCTCTCTCTCTCTCTCTTTTCTCTCTCTGTCTCTCTCTCTCTCACACACACACACAAAGGGCTCTTACATTTTCTTTTTTTGTTTGAGATGGGAGTCTCACTCTTGTCACCCAGGCTGGAGTGCAATGGCACGATCTCAGCTCACTGCAACCTTTGCCTCCCAGGTTCAAGTGATTCTCCTGCCTCAGCCTCCTGAGTAGCTGGGATTACAGGCACCCACTGTCGTGCCCGGCTAATTTTGGTATTTTTGTGGAGATGGGGTTTCACCATGTTGGCCAGGCTGGTCTTGAACTCCTGACCTCAAGTGATCCTCCCACCTCAGCCTCTCAAAGTGCTGGGATTACAGGCATGAGCCACTGTGCCCGGTCGCTTTTACATTTGAAATGTCCTTTGCAGTTGCTAAAGCATTCACATTTACGTTTTACAGCTGTCTTCTGAAAGGTTTTGTCCCACTTTACAGATGAGGAAGCTAAAGTGCAAAGGTTGTGGATCTCTGGAATTTATACAGCTGGTAAGCTAGAGGACAGCTTCCACCCAAGATTTATTCAGAATTTTAACGGCCCTCTGGGGGGCCTGGGGAACCTTGGCAAGCCATGCCACCTTTGAGGTTCAGGTCCCTCATTTTTTAAGTGTAGGATTTGGGTTATGTTTTAATCTAAGTTCATGGTGTGTAAGGCACCTTCTTTGGGAATGAGGTATGGGGAAGTATGGACATACGTGATTAATGTTAGCCACATAGGTCGCGTGCAGTGGCTCATGCCTGTAATCCCAGTACTTTGGGAGGCTGAGGTGGGTGGATCACTTGAGGTTAGGAGTTCGAGACCAGTCTGACCAATATGGTGAAACCCCGCCTCTACTAAAAATACAAAAATTAGCTGGGTGTGGTGGCTGGTGCCTGTAATCCCAGCTACGATGGAGGCTGAGGCAGGAGAATCACTTGAACCCAGGAGGCGGAGGTTGCAGGGAGCCGAGATTGTCCCACTGCACTCCAGCCTGGGCAACAGAGTGAGACTCGGTTTCAAAAAAAAGAAAGAAAAGGAGGTTAGCCACATAAATAATAGATGAGGCTCTTTGAAAGGACCTAAGAGGGTGCTGTAAATTACATGTGATGTAAGCCTGGAAGTCTTCACTGCTGCATATTTTTTCCCCAATTCTACTTAAAACGTTTTAAAACTTGTCAAGATAACTTTCTCAAATCGTTAAGAAGGGGTCATCTCAATGTTACAGCATGAGAAATTAAAGTCCAGAGAAATGAAATAGCTTTCTAGGTCATGGCAAAATTGGTGCATCTGGAGTAGCATTCAGATCCCGAATCCTTGTCCCTGGTTCTCTTAACTGCCATGCTCTTTGGGTTGAGACTAGAAAGAAAATGGATACAACACATTTCACCCTTAGGAGACTTTCAGTGTTTTTAATGTTTTCACTTAGAATGGAAGAAATTATACTTGAAAAGGGATGTTTAAATTTATTGATGTTGGCTGGGCGCGGTGGCTCACGCCTGTAATCCTAGCAGTTTGGGAGGCCGAGGTGGGCGGATCACCTGAGGTCAGGAGTTCGAGACCAGCCTGACCAACATGGAGAAACCCCATCTCTAGTAAAAATGCAAAATTAGCCGGGCATGGAGGCGCATGCCTGTAATTCCAGCTACTCAGCAGGCTGAGGCAGGAGAATCGCTTGAACCTGCGAGGCAGAGGTTGCGGTGAGCCGAGATCGCGCTATTGCACTCCAACCTGGGCAACAAGAGCAAAAACTCCGTCCCCGCCCCCCCCCCCCCCCCAGAAAAAATTATTGTTGCTATTGCTTCAGATTTCCAGTAGCTCCTCAAACCCTGCTCAAAAGTCCATTTCTTTGAGTTGGGGGAAGGGGTAGGATTCTTGATAATGAAGCTATTGTTGGGTAAATTCTTGGCCGTCCTTAAATCCTTCGGGATCAGGGAGCTAGGATTCCTCTTGGCTCTGTAAGATTAAATAGGCTGTGCGTGGGCCATCAGGCCCTCCATACCTTCCTCCCATACACCCTTAGAATCTGCCATCCAGAGACTGAGAGGGTCCTCATCTTAGCAGATGTGACTATCAGGCAAGCACAAACACTATGATTCAGAGCTGGGTGTGACTTAACAGGTCTTCTTTCATTATAAAACCCAATCATTAGACTGGCTAATAAAAATTACCATCTCAAATACTTACTGTGTCTTGGGTACTTTGAATGCATGGTCTCTGAATCTTTACAGCAGCCTTAGCAGTGAGGAATGTTAATATTTTTAACACATGAGGAAACCAGGTATTCGGTGATGTAACGTGCATAGCTAGTAAGAGGCAAGGTTGAGATTGAAATGGGCTGTCTTACTTTAAGGTTCTTTCCACTACGCCATGGATATTTTGATCCCCAACTAGAGAAAAGGAGTCCTAGAAATGTTATAACAAGCCTGGCAAGGTGGTTTACACCTGTAATCCCAGTACTTTAGGAGGCCGAGGTGGGAGGAGGATTGCTTGAGTCCGGGAGTTTGAGACCAGCCCGAGCAACACAGTAAAACCCCATCTGTACTAAAAGTACAAAAATTTAGCCAGCTGTGTTGTTGCATGCCTGTAGTCCCACCTATTTGAGAGGCTGAGGTGGGAGGATTGCTTGGTCCTGGGAGGTTGAGGCTGCAGTGAGCCCTGATTACACCACTGCACTCCAGCCTGGGTGACAGCCTGTCTCAAGCAAACAAACAAACCTGAAGGAATCTATTGTCAAATTCATTTCCCAAAGTTCTACTCCCATGCCATTCTGTACTAGGAAGGGGAGGGGAAATAACATTTGCTGTCTTTTGTGAGCTAGTCAGTCACCCTGCTAAGTGAAGCTTTATGTACATTTTTATTTTTTTATTATTATTTTTGAGACAAGAGTTTCACTCTGTTGCCCAGGCTAGAGTGCAGTGGCACACTCTCAGCTCACTGCAATGTCCACCTCCCAGGTTCAAGCGATTCTCCTGCCTCAGCCTCCTGAGTAGCTGAGACTACAGGTGCATGGCACCACACCTGGCTAATTTTTGTATTTTTAGTAGAGACAGGGTTTCACCATGTTGGCCAGGCTGCTCTCCAACTCCTCACCTCAAGTGATCCTCCTGCCTCAGCCTCCCAAAGTGCTGGGATTACAGGCATAAGCCATTGCGCCCAGCCTACATTTTTTTTTTTTTTTTGAGACGGAGTCTCTCTCTGTTGCCCAGGCTGGAGGGCAGTGGCACAATCTTGGCTCAGTGCAAACTCTGCCTCCTGGGTTCGAGCGACTCTCCTGCCTCAGCCTCCCAAGTAGCTGGGATTACAGGCATGCGCCACCACGCCCAGCTAATTTTGTATTTTTAGTAGAGACAGGTTTCTCCATGTTGGTCAGGCTGGTCTCGAACTCCTGACCTCAGGTGATCCGCCCACCTCGGCCTCCCAAAGTACTGGAATTACAGGCGTAAGCCACTGCACCCGGCCAACGCCCAGCCTACATTTTAAAGTTCAAGCTAATAATCTTGTGAATTAGGTCATAGCTCCAATTTAGCAGCTCAGAGAGGAAAAGTGACTTTCTATGGTCACATAGCTGAGGAGTGGCAGAGCATGTCTTTGTGCAGGGCTTCAAGATCCTTTTCATGATGCGATGTTGTCTTCAAGACAGGGGCTGAAAGCCTGCCACTCCAGGTCTTCCTTGATAAGACCTCTTTCTTCCTTGCCAGGTAGCCTTTGCTCAATCACCTTCTTTACATTCGCCTTTTAAGCCAGATTGGTCTTTTTTACTGCCCCACCCACATCTCCAGGCAATCTGGACCTTAATGTGCTTCTTACTCCTAAAGCTTGGAGCTCCTTCACTTCAAAAAGTGAGGTACTACAGTTACAGTAGGCACTGCCGTTACAGTATAACTCAAGAGGTGGATCAAAGCACCAACTGGAATCTCTCCAGCTGCACCCAGTTTGTTCAGCCTGCTCTTACTTTTGCTCAAGCCGTTACTCTCCTGTCTGGCTTTCTTCTCTTGCCCTATTCGAATTCTATCTATGAAATCTTACCTCCTCCCTGTCAGCTACTGCGATCCCTTCTTTGGGATCCAGTACTGTGGGTCTGTACCACACAATGGCATTTATCTGTCTTCATTCATTTGACAAACACATTGAAGAGCTGCCATTATGGGGTAGACACTGGGCAGGTGGCTGGAGAGACCTTAGTGAATTATACAGACATGGACATGGACCAGGGGGCTAACTCCAGTGTTAGAGTGGGGAGATACAAAAAAGTGGGGAAGATACATTAAAAAGATATAAAGTAACTAGGAAAATGTCACTCACGGTCCTCTCCAGGTCCAGCACACAAACTCACAGTAATGAATTCATGAATAACTCATTGATTACAGGTCAGAATTTTTAAAAAGAAATGACTGAGGCTGGGCGTGGTGGCTCACGCCTGTAATCCCACCACTTTGGGAGGCTGAGGCGGGCGGATCACAAGGTCAGGAGTTCAAGACCAGCCTTGCCAACATGGTAAAACCCCATCTCTACTAAAAATACAAAAATCAGCTGGGTGTGGTGGTGCACATGTGTAATCCCAGCTATTCGGGAGGCTGAGGCAGGAGAATCGCTTGAACTCGAGAGGTGGAGGTTGCAGTGAGCCGAGATTGCGCCACTCCAGCCTGGGCGACAGAGCAAGACTCTGTCTCGGGGAAAAAAACAAAACAAAACAAAGAGAAATGGCTGAAAGGAATCCTTTATTACCCCACCCAAACCTGACAGTCATGCAGCCTTGGGCTTGGCTCTAACCTGTCAACTGGCGGTGTGACCTTGAGCAAGTCCTGGCCTCTCAGCAGCCTCTGTAAAAATGAGGTTGTTGCATTTAGTGGTCTCTGGGGACCTTTCCATTTCTGAGATTCTGTATATTATTTTCAACTGCTCTGGGAAGGTCCCCTTCCTCTTCCTGGTTTTTTCCTGCATTTCTCCCCCTCCCCCTTTCCTTCCGCTCTTCACATTTGTCCCTTCTGTATCCGCCCTCAGCCCCCATTTCCTGGCCACCCCCCAATTCCACTGAGATGGTTACCATGGGAATCATCTCCTGGAAGTGACATCACACATTTCCTAGGCAACTGTTTCCAGGACAGTGACATCATCTGATCACCATGGTAACCCTCCAGGAGGCCACTTCTGCAGTGAAATGGGCAGAGAGAATTTTATGTTTTTTCTGGAGATTGAGGGCAATGTAGGGAAATATTAACAGCAACAAAAAAATCTCAAGAGTTAGAAGAAAAAGCTTTGAATGTTGTGCTTGTTGGGGGCAAGTGGGAAACCAGTGTGGGGCTGGGAAAGAGCAGAAGCTCGGGGCTAACCCCTTCTCCTTTCCAATAACTACATTGATCATATGTCACCAAATTGGGACATTTGAGAGTGAACAGGGCACCATTATTATTATGTGGGAAAGACAAGTGAACATGGCCTCCCCAAGCAAACCAGGGTATGTGGCCCCCTGCCCATAATCAGGGCAGGTGCCCGGCCTTCTTTCCTCAGCTATGGCTCATCCAGCATGCTTTGATTCAGCTCCTCCTGTGTATGGCTACTAGGGATACCACAGGGAGCAAAACAGCCCAGATTACTGTCCTAATGGTGCTCAGGGTCATGTGTGTGTGGTGGGGTGAGGGTGACCCCACAGTCACCCAAATGCACATTGTGGTATGGACTGGGCATGGTGCTGAAAAGCGAAGGCACTTGAGGGACATGTTTTTTTGTTTGTTTGTTTTTTGTTTTTAGATGGAGTCTCTCTCTGTTGCCCAGGCTGGAGGGGCAGTGGCACGATCTCAGCTCAGTGCAGCCTCTGCCTCCCAAGTTCCAGTGATTCTCCTGCCTCAGCCTCCCGGGTAGCTGAGACTACAGGCGCCCACTACTACGCCCGGCTAATTTTTGTATTTTTGTAGCGATGGGGTTTCACGGTGTTGGCCAGGCTGGTCTTGAACTCCTGACCTCAGGTGATCCGCCCGCCTCAGTCTCTCAAAGTGCTAGGATTACAGGCGTGAGGCACCACGCCTGGCTGATTTTTTTTAATGCAAACAGGAGTGTTTCTCTCACGGCTCAAAACACGTCCACAGGGCTTCCCAGTGCTGAGAAGATGGAGGCCTTCAAGGTCCCTGCCGCCCTGCCCATGTTACCTTCATCTTGAATTCCTCTCCAGCCTGCTTTCCGCTGGGCCGCCAGCCTCCTTTCCACTCCTGATACTTTGCGTGCTCCCTCTGCACTCCAGTGCGCGCCACTGCGCTCCAGTCTGGGCGACAGCGCGAGACTCCATCTCAGAAAAATAAAAAAGCCGGGCGCGGTGGCTCACGCCTGTAATCCCAGCACTTTGGGAGGCCAAGGCGAGCGGATCATGAGGTCAGGAGATCGCGACTACGGTGAAACCCCGTCTCTACTAAAAATACAAAAAAAAAAAAAAAAAAAAGAAAAAGAAAAACAAAAAATTAGCCAGGTGGGGTGGCGGGAGCCTGTAGTCCCAGCTACTCCGGAGGCTGCGGCAGGAGAATGGCGTGAACCCGGGAGGCGGAGCTTGCAGTGAGCCGAGATCACGCCACTGCACTCCAGCCTGGGTGACACAGCGAGACTCTGTCTCAAAAAAATAAAAATAAAAAATAAATAAAAAGAACTCACCTGGCTGTTGCGTGGGACAGATGGGAGAGTAGTTTGCTCCAGAGAGAGCTTGAGTGGCAGGGACCTATGTGGGGGCTGTGACTGAGGGACATGGTGGATACTATTTGGGAGGTAGAGTTGACAGGATTTGCCAAAGGACTGAGTCTGAGGGTGAGGGCAAGGAAGGACTCAGGCTACCCAGGTTTCTGTTGTGAGTAGTGGGGTGAAAGATGAGTAGTCATCTTTCAGATGATGCAGGGGTGCAGGGCTGGGCTTAAGGTTAGCAAGAGAGGTGCCTAGGTCACAACATATATCTATATCTATATTATATTATATATGTATATTTTGTTGTTGTTGTTTTGTTGTTGTTTGAGATGGAGTCTCACTCTGTTATCCAGGCTGGAGGGCAGTGGCGCAATCTTGGCTCACAGCAACCTCCGCCTCCAGGGTTCAAGCGATTCTCCTGCCTCAGCCTCCCGAGTAGCTGGGATTACGGGCAAGTGGCACAACGCCTGGCTAATTTTTTTGTATTTTTAGTAGAGATGGGGTTCCACCATGTTGGCCAGGCTGGTCTTGAACTCCTTACCTCATGTGATCTGGCCCACGACATAGGTTTTTAAATTTTTAAATTTTATTTATTTTTTTAAGAGACAGGGTCTCACTCTGTTACCCAGTTTGGAGTGCAGTGGCAAGATCATAACTCACTGCGTCCTGGAATGATCCTCTGACCTCAGCCTCCCTAGAGGCTAGGACTACAAGTACACACCACCACAACCAGCTAATTTTTGTTATTTTTTGTAGAGGTGGGGTCTTGCTATGTTACCCAGCCTGGTCTCAAACTTCTGGGCTCAAGCAATCCTCCCACTTAGGCCTCCCAAAATGCTAGGATTACAGGCATGAGCCACCGTGCCAGGCCTAGGGAACAACATTTAAGGAGGCACACACTCTCAGGGGTGGTCTTAAAAAGGAGTGCCTTTTTCAACGCTGCACGTCGGGAGAAGCAGGTTTTTGGGATTTTTTTTAGAGGGATCGGGTGTCGTGTTTTTCAGCAGTAGTAACGACACTCTTATGTTAACATGGGGGCTTTCACTTTTACCAACCCCCTACTAAAGGTGGAGAGAGCATTGTGTGCCAGCTGTGTTACTGTCCCCACAGGAGCTCTGGGAGGGGGCTCCGCACCCACTGGCCTGTCTTTTCTTTTTTTTTTTTTTTGAGATGGAGTTTCACTCTTGTTGCCCAGGTTGGAGTGCAATGGTGCAATCTCGGCTCACCGCAACCTCTGCTTCCTGGGTTCAAGTGATTCGCCTGCCTCAGCCTCCCGAGTAGCTGGTATTACAGGCATGCGCCACCACGCCCAGCTAATTTTTTTTTTTTTTTTTTGAGACGGAGTCTCACTCTGTTACCCAGGCTGGAGTGCAGTGGCGCGATCTCGGCTCACTGCAACCTCTGCCTCCCGGGTTCATGCCATTCTCCTGCCTCAGCCTCCCGAATAGCTGGGACTACAGGCACCCGCCACCACGCCCGGCTAATTTTTTGTATTTTTAGTAGAGATGGGGTTTCACTGTGTTAGCCAGGATGGTCTCGATCTCCTGACCTCGTGATCCTCCTGCCTCGGCCTCCCAAAGTGCTGGGATTACAGGCGTGAGCCACCGCACCCGGCTAATTTTGTATTTTTAGTAGAGACAGGGTTTCTCCATGTTGGTCAGGCTGGTCTTGAACTCTCGATCTCAGGTGATCCACCAGCCTCGGCCTTCCAAAGTGCTGGGATTACAGGTGTGAGCCACCACGCCCAGCCATGGCCCATCTTATAGATGAGGAAATCAGGCTCTGAGAGGTTCCAGATCTTCCTGAAGGTCCCATGGCTTGCAAGTGGGGGCAGCAGGCCTCAAACTCAGGCTTGCTGACTCATGAGCCTACTCTCTTCCCACCATGTGATGTTTCTCCAGCCTCCCGAGTTTCCTGGGGAGGAAAGGAAGATAATCCAAGAGCCCATAAAGCCCCAGGTGCTTTCAAGTTGGCCACCTCCTTGTTGCTCACCACCATTGAGGGTGCAGAGGAGCAAACCAAGGGTCTAGGAAGTGACAAGATCTCTCAGCTCAGCAGAGCTTCATCATGAGAGCCACTTTCTATTACAGGTGCTCTCCACCTGCCTTTAAGGTTCTGCCTGGCCGGGCGCGGTGGCTCACGCCTGTAATCCCAGCACTTTGGGAGGCCGAGGCAGGCGGATCACGAGGTCAGGAGATCGAGACCATGCTGGCTAACATGGTGAAACCCCGTCTCTACTAAAAATACAAAAAATTATCCGGGTGTCGTGGTGGGCACCTGTAGTCCCAGCTACTCGGGAGAGTGAGGCAGGAGAATGGCGTGAACCCGGGAGGCGGAGGTTGCAGTGAGCCGAGATCACACCACTGCACTCCAGCCTGGGCGACACAGTGAGACTCCTTCTCAAAAAAAAAAAAAAAGAATTAGGGCAGGCGGGCAAAAGGTGTTTGTGCATGACACATGAGCCTGTGGGGTAGAGGCGGGAGAGGCGGGGTACAGGGACATGTGGGACAGATGGTTGCTGGGGTAGAAGCCTCCTCCTCACCAGCTGGTTCCCAGGGACAGCATACTTTGTAGCTCTCATTTCCAGGCCTACACCTGAGGCAGGGAGAAGAGGGGAATGAGCAGGCACATCCACGAAGCTGAGGCCTCAGGGGGCAGGACTGGTGGAAGGGGCCCTCTGCCTCTAGCTACCTCATAGCCCACCCCAACCAATAAATAACCATGGTTTTGCTAGTGCCTCCAAGTACTGGACCTCAAAAGTCACAAACTACCCGGAGATTAAAAAGAAATGAATAGGCTGGGCACGGTGACTCACACCTGTAATCCCAGCACTTTTGGAGGCCGAGGCAGGTGGACTGCTTGAGTTCAGGAGTTTGAAAGTAGCCTGGGTAACATGGCAAAACAGTAAATACAAAAATTAGCCAGGCCTGGTAGTTCCAGCTACTCAAGAGGCTGAGGTGGGAAGATTGCTTGAGCCTGGGAGGTCGAGGCTGCAGTGTGCCAAGATCGTGTCACTGCAATTCACCCTGGGGAACAGAGTGAGACTGCCTCGAAAAAAAAAAGGAGTGAATAAACACGAAGATTAGGCCCTGTGACCCCCAACACACACGCACACACACACACATGCGCGCACACACACACACACACTCCTTTTTATTTTGAGATAGAGTCTTGCTCTGTTGCCCAGGCTGGAGTGCAGTGGTGCAATCTCGGCTCACTGCAACCTCCGCCTCCCGGGTTCAAGCTATTCTTGTGCCTCAGCCTCCTGAGTAGCTGGGATTACAGGCGCGTACCACCACACCAGGCTAATTTTTGTATTTTTAGTAGAGACAATTTCACCATGTTGGCCAGGCTGGTCTCGAACCCCTGACCTCAAGTGATCCGCCTGCCTCGGCCTCCCAAAGTGCTGGGTTTACAGGTGTGAGCCCCTGCGCCTGGCCATACTGCTTCCTTAATGTATTAGGGTTCAATCAGAGAAACTGTACCAGTAAGGGGATACAGATTAAGAGATTTGTTGCAAGGAGGTGATTTGCGTGATTGTGGGGCTGGCTAGGTAAGTGCAGTAAGTGCAGGCTGGAACTCTTGTCAAGGGCTGAAGTTGCTATCCACAGGCAGAATTTCTTCTTCAGGAAAACCTCAAGTCTGATTTTAAGGCCTTTCAACTGCGTCTATCAAGCCCACCTAAATTATCCAGGATATCTTCCTTTTATGTAAAGTCAACTGATAATGGACTTTATTCGCATCTACAAAACAACTTCACCAAAACATCCAGTTTAGTGTTGGAATAATTGGGGCCTTTAGTCTAGCCAAGTTGACACAGTAAAAAAGACATCACACTCAGCAGGGCATGGTGGCTCAGTCCTGTAATCCTAGCACGTTGGCAGGCCAGGGCGGGAGGATTGCTTGAGGCCAGGAGGTCCAGACCAGCCTGGGCAATGTAGAAAGACACCATCTCTCCAAAACATAAAAAAAGATAAATTAGCTGGGCTCGATAGCTATACCTATAGTCCCAGCCACTCAGGAGGCTAAGGTGGGAGAATCACTTGTGCCCAGGAGTTTGAGGCTGCAGTAAGCTATGATCATGCCACTGTACTCCAGCCTAGGTGACAGAGCGAGACTGTGTCTCAAAAACAAACAAACAAAAAGCAGTGGAACGTTGCTTTACATATATTAGAGCACTTACCACATGCCCTGTGGTTAAGTGATTTGCATGCAGCATCTCAGTTAATCTCAGAACATCCCGTGACGCAGGTATCCTTCTTGTCCCTGATTTTACAGTTCAGGAAACGGCCTCAGAGAGGTGAGGAGACGCCCACAGTCGCGTGGCATGGTGCACCTGTGTTCTGAACTGTCACTTGCCTCTCCCTGTGAGCCTCTCTTTACTCTGCCTTGTCTTCTTGTCCTGGGGCAAGAAGTTAGGGTTCAAGACCCTTCGGGATGTGAGGATGTTTCTGCCACTCTGGACATTAGTTTTCTCCCCTAAGTGGCTCTATCTCTCCCGGCCTGAGTTTGGAAGGGAGACACCATTCTGGTACGACTTTTCTTAGGCCTGTGCTGCCATCTATGGGGCTCGAAGGTGCTCGCCATGCTCCAGACCGGCCACCTGGCAGTCAGGTGAGCTTGCAAGTGTGAAGAGCAGCGGGATGCGGGGGAGGGAGCAAGCCCAGTAACAAATAAAGCAAATATCATCGGCCCTTGTCCTCAGCTGCTCGCTCAGGCCCCCCAGAATCCTGTAGCATTTCTGGGGATTAAGAGGGTGGTGGGGTTTTCACCTCTATCACGTCTACTGCCAGCCTGGCGCCCAAAGGTTCGGCCGTCATCCGCCCCAGCGGGTCCCTGGAACCGCCGGGATGCCCAGGCTGCCAGGGGGTCTAATGGGGAACTGGGAGTTTCTTTCAGGTCACAGGATAGGTCTGCAGTGCGACTCAGGCTCCCGCGGGGACCTGCCCACTCGAACGGGGGAGGAGGAAGAGGCTCCGGGGGAGAGCCAAGGAGGCGGGGAAGAGGAGCGGCGTCCCGGGAAAGGGGATGCTGGAGCTCCTGCCGACGCTCCACCTGTAGCCCCGCCCTTGACTCCGCCCACTTCCCCAGCCCCTCCCTTCCAGGCGCAGCCTCGAGGTGGCGCTGTGGAGCCGCGCAGGGTCTAGGGCGACTCTCTGAGGGAGCCGCGGCCGCCAGGCTCCGTGGGTTTTGGTTCAGGCGCCGGTTAGTGTCGGGGTAGGCCACGCAGTGAGTTGGCTTGAGGCAGGAGGCAGGCGGAAACCGAGGCTGAGAGGCTGGCTGTCGCTGCCACCCCTCAGCAACCCCAGTGCAGCTGGTCATCCTGTCAGCCGATCAGTCAGTCGCGTCCCCAGCCCGGCTCACACGCCTCCTCCATCAGTCCCTCAGTCAGTCCCTGCGTTTCCTGTCTTTCCCTTGCCTTTCTCCCTCTTTTTTCTTGTCTTTTCTTTCTTTCTTTTCCTTCCTTCTCTCTCTATTTCTCTCACTTTCTTTCCTTTTCTTTTTCTTTTTATGAGAGGGGTCACCTCACTATGTCACCCAGGCTGGAGTGCAGTGACGTCATCTCGGCTCACTCAGCTTCGACATCCTGGGCTCAAGCCATCCTCCCGCCTCGGCCTCCCAAAGCTCCGGGATCACAGGCAGAGCCACTGTATCCGCCCAACCATTGCGGTTCCTGCCAGGTGGTCGGCTGGCAGGTCGGCCCTTGTCACCTGGGTCCCCGAGCCCTGCACACTGTGAGGGCGAACAGAGTCCATGGAGGATGGTGAGGGGAGGAAATATGTGGAGCCCAGGCCTTGCTTTTTCTGTTTTTTGTTCTTGTTGTTGTTGTTGCTGTTGTTTTGTTTTTTTTTTTTTTAGACGGAGTCTCGCTCTGTCGCCCAGGCTGGAGTGCAGCTCACTGCAAGCTCGGCCTCCCGGGTTCACGCCGTTCTCCTGCCTCAGCCTCCCGAGTAGCTGGGACTACAGGCGCCCGCCACCACGCCCGGCTAATTTTTTGTATTTTTAGTAGAAACGCGGTTTCACCGTCTTAGCCAGCATGGTCTCGATCTCCTGAACTCGTGATCCGCTCACCTCAGCCTTCCAAAGTGCTGGGATTACAGGCGTGAGCCACCGCGCCCGGCCTCTTTTTTTTTTTTGAGTCTTGCTCTGTTGCCCAGGTTGAAGTGCAGTGGTGCGATCTCTGCTCACTGCAACCTCTCCCTTCCGAGTCCAAATGATTCTCTTGCCTCAGCCTCCTGAGTAGCTGGGATTACAGGCACTCACCACCACGCCTGGCTAATTTTTGTGTTTTTAGTAGAGGCGAGGTTTCACTATGTTGGCCAGGCTGGTCTTGAACTCCTGGCCTCAAGAGTCTGCCCGCCTCGGCCTCTCAAAGTGCTGGGATTACAGGTGTGAGCCACTGTGCCCGGCCGTTTTTTTTCTGTTTTTGGTCAGAGTTACTTGCCAAAGGGCTTTGGTTTTTTCCCCTCAGGATCTCCCAGGCCCTTGGGGGGCAGAGGGGACAACGATGCTGACCCGCTCCTGAGGTGGCGCTCGGCCAGCACAGCTGTCCCTGGAGCAGAAGAGTGGCAGTGGAGGGGCCAGAGCCCTGGCTTTCAGCGGCTGTACTGAGAGTTACTCCACGTTCAGCCCTTCCCCGCCCGACGCGGATTGGCTGTGGGCTGGGTCTGATCCTTCCCGGACCTGGAGCAGCTGTGGGCTGGGCCTGATCCACTGACTGCCTTCTATGTTAGAGCTGGCAGCATGGGGGCCCAGACCCGGGCCCTTCCAGGAGGTGCCAGGGCAGTGGGACCCGGCCCTGAGCTGGAGAGAGCATTCCTGTGCTGGTCGTGGCAGTGCTTCCACCTCACTGTGTGTGCTTGTGCAGGTCACTTCACCCAGGCCTCGGTGTCATCACGGACAGCTTTCAGAAAGGGGAGACAGCCTGGACATGGTGGCTCACACCCATAACCTCAGCACTTTGTGAGGCCAAGGTGGGGAGGATCACTTGAGGCCAGGGGTTCAAGACCAGCCTGGGCAACGTAGTAAGTAACCCCATCTCTAAAGAAAAAAAATTAGCTGGACATGGGAGGCCGAGGTGGGAAGATGGGGCTTGAGCCCAGGAAGTCGAGGCTGCAGTGATCCTCGACTGCACTCCAGTGGTGCATTCGATTACACTACTGCACTCCAGCCTGGGTGACAGCGGGGAGACCCCTCTCAAACAAACAAAATCCCCCCAAACCCAAACCTGCCACCTACTTCCCTGCCCTGCCCGGTACTGTGGGTTTGGAAATATAACCATGGAGGTGAAAGCCCAGGTGTGAGGAAGTTATAACCTGACCTCTCATGGTTTTCCTGATGCAGGGGAGGAAGAATGGAAGAAAGAAATGAGAAAAGGCAGGGGTGGCCTGAACTCCTGGGCTCCAGGGGACGCTGTGTCTGTTACCCCCACCCATAGGAGCCTGGGGTTCTGGCCTGGGCTGTGTGACCCTGGGCCTGTCTCTGCTGCTCTCTGGGCTTTTACAGCAGTGAAGAGCTTGGGTTCTATGATCTCTAAGGCTTGAGACTTGAGTGGAAGGGTTTCTAACAGAAATCCTGGGGCCATGATGTTCGGGGAGCAAGAGCTAAGCTGTCTGGTGCAATAGCCACTAACCACGTGTTGCTGTTGGGCACTTGACATGTGGCTTGTCTGATTTCAGGTGTGCCCAAGGATGTTGTAGAACTCTGTCTAGCCACAGTGTGGGGATGGGGAGCTCCCGCCGACAGACTCTGTTGCTTTCTGGCTTGGTAAGTGGGAATACCGAAGTCCCTGGCTGTGTGTTCAGCCCAGTGGGGTTGGGATAGGTACTGGGGAAGGTGGGAGCTGGGTCAGAAACCCTCCCTCAGCCCAACCTGGGTGGACTCCTGGGACCCTTGGTGGGAGGAGGGGTCTGATGACCCTGGGGGAGGGAGGGAGGGGAATTGGCAAGACTCAGATGTATACTCTGGGGACGACGATCCTCTCTCTTTCTGCCCCAGTCCCGCTCCTTTCTTTGAAGCTGGGGTCCCCAGCTCACATCATGCCCAGGCAGCCTCAGTGTTCCAGTGAGGCGGGAGCTACAGCTCCTGGAAATTAGAGGTGACCTGGGCGAGGCAAGTTTTTTGTAGGGACCTGGTGGGATACTCCCAGGGGATTGTTCTCCTGGGCAGGCCTGGGAAGTCCCAGGAAGAGTTGGTTATTCATTCACATCCAGTGTTTATTGGACATCCACCACATGCCAGGCTTTGTGCCAGGCAGTGAGTGACAGGAGTGAACTGTACAGACATTGACCCTGTTTATGGAGTGCAGTGTCTAGAAGTGGTGATAAGGGCAATGGGAGAAGACAAAAATGAAAGTACACGAATTAGTTAAAGTAAAAATTCTGATACCAGGCACGGCGGCTCATGTCTGTAATCCCAGCACTTTGGGAGGCCGAGGCCAGCGGATCACCGGAGGTTGGGAGTTGGAGACCAGCCTGACCAACATGGAGAAACCCCATCTCTACTAAAAATACAAAATTAGCTGGGCGTGGTGGCACATGCCTCTAATCCCAGCTACTTGGGAGGCTGAGGCAGGAGAATCGCTTGAACCTGGGAGGCAGAGGTTGTGGTGAACGGGGTTGCACCACTGCACTCCAGCCTGGGCAACAAGAGTGAAACTCTGTCTCAAAAAAAAAAAAAAAGTTAAAATTGTGGTATGTGCTGTGAGGGTAGCAAGGCGGGTGCTAAGATAGAGAACAAAGCAGGCCATTCTGGGAGGATTCTCTGAGCAGGTGACACTTAGCCTAAGACCTGAAAGAGGAGGAGCCATGGGATGGAAAGAGTGTTCCAGACAGAGGGAATAGCATTCATCCACTCACTCACTCATGCATGTGTTACTCTGTGTTGGACGCTGTTCTATTTGCTCCCAAAACAGCGATGAACAATACAGGAGAAATGCTTTCTGTCATGGAGCTTATGTTGTACTGGAAGAAGACAGAAGGCAAATAACCAATTAGACAAATAATATCAGGAAATGATGAATGCTCTGGAGAACATAAAAAGATGATGGGCTAGCAAATGACTAAGGATGAAGGGACTATTGCAGATAAGGTGGAGAGGGAAGGCCACTCTGGAGACCTGAATGATGAGAAGGAGCCAGGCAATGGAAGGGTCTGGAGGAAGAGCATTCCAGAGAAAGGGACCAGGAAGTGGAAACGAGTTTAGCAGATTTGAGGCATATGGCCAGTGGGAGAGTGATGGGCAGTGAGGTGCAGGGAGCAAGTTGTGGAGGGTGTGGCAAAACTAGGCCAGGAGTTTGGATTTTAGTAGAAGGCATCGGGAAGCTGGTGGAGGGATGTGGGTAGGGGAGTGGTCCAGTCCCTCAGGCTGCTCTGTGTGGGTATAGAGTGAGAAGGTGGGAAGGTGGGAGTTAAACTAGTTAGAAATCATTGAGGCCGGGCGCAGTGACTCACGCCTGTAATCCCAGCACTTTGGGAGGCTGAGGTGGGCGGATCATGAGGTCAAGAGATCGAGACCATCCTGGCCAACATGGTGAAGCCCCGTGTCTACTAAAAATACAAAAATTAGCCAGGCGTGGTGGCGTGCACCTGTAGTCCCAGCTACTTGGGAGGCTGAGGCAGGAGAATCGCTTGAACCCGGGAGGCGGAGGTTCTGTCTCAAAAATAAATAAATAAATAAATAAATAATAAATAAATAAATGGAAAGGAATCATTTTGTAGTCCAGGCAAAATGTTGGTGGCCTGGACTAGGGCAATAGCAGTGGAGATGGATGCAGGTGAACAGATATATCTATGGACGGAATTGACAGGACTTTATAACCATTTGGATGAAGGAAAATGAGACTCCTTGGATTTGACTTCTAGCAACTGGGTGGATTATGGTGCCATTTACTGAGTTGGAGTGGGTTGTGGGAGATACATTTTGGGGAGGAAAATGCAAATGCAGTTTTGATGAACTTAGAGATTTCTGTAAGACAGGAAAGCGGAGATGACAAGCAGGAAGCTGGGTCTCTGAGCTTGGAGCACAGGGAACAGGACTGGCCTAGAGATAAATTTGGTTCAGGGCACAGGCAGCTCTGGTTAGGCCCACAGAGACAGTACTGTTCAAGGGACAAGCACTAAGTTGTCCAGCACAGACACTAGGCTCTCCAGCACAGTAGCCATGAACCACATGTGGCTTTTGGGCACTTGACATGTGGCTTGTCTGATTTCAGGTGTACTGGAAGTATAAAGGACACACTAGATTTTGAAGAGTTAGCATGGAAGAAAGAATGTAGAATATCTCAATAATTTTTATACTGGGCCAGGAATGGTGGCTTATGACTGTGATCCCAGCACTTTGGGAGGCCGAGGCGGGTGGATCACGAGGCCAGGAGATCAAGACCATCCTGGGCAACATGCTGAAACCCCGTCTCTACTAAAAAATATTTAAAAATTAGCTGGGTGTGGTGGTGCACGCCTGTGGTCCCAGCTACTAGGGAGGCTGAGGCAGGAGAATCACTTAAATCTGGGACGTGGAGGTTGCAGTGAGCCAAGATGGCACCCCTGCACTCCAGCATGGCGACAGGAGAGACTTTGTCTCAAAAAAAAAATTTTTTTTTAATACTGATTATACATTGAACTGCTAATAGTTTGTATATACTGGGCTACATAGAATACATTAATATTAATATTATTTTGTAGAGACGTGGCCTTACTATGTTGCCTAGGCTGGTTTCAAACTCTTGAAACCAGCAAGGAGGTCCTTCTGCCTTGGCCTCTGAAAGTGCTGAGATTACAGGTGTAGGCCATTGTGCCTGGTCATAAAATAAATGTATTATTAAAATTAATTTCACCTGTTTATTTTTACCTTTTAAAATGTGGCTACTAGAAAATGTAAATCACATTTTTTTTGTTTGTTTTTGTTTTCTGAGACAGGGTCTTACTCTGTCGTTCAGGCTGGAGTGCAGTGGTGCGATCTCAGCTCACTGCAACCTCTGCCTCCCGGGTGGAAGCAATTCCCCGCGTCAGCCTCCTGAGTAGCTGGGACAGGTATGTGTCACCACAACCAGATAATTTTTGTATTTTTAGTAGAGAAGGGGCTTCCCCATGTTGGCCAGGCTGGTCTTGAACTCCTGACCTTAAGTGATCCACCCGTTTTGGCCTCCCAAAGTGCTGAGATGTATTTCTTTTCTTTCTTTCTCTTTTTTTTTTTTTGAGACAGAGTTTCACTCTTGTTGCCTAGGCTGGAGTGCAATGGCGTGATCTTGGCTCACCACAACCTCCGCCACCTGGGTTCAAGTGATTCTCCTGCCTCAGCCTCCTGAGTAGCTGGGATTACAGGCATGCGCCACTACGCTGGCTAATTTTGTATTTTTTTTTTTTAGTAGAGATGGTGTTTCTCCAGTTGCTCAGGCTGGTCTCGAACTCTGACCTCAGGTGATCTGCCTGCCTTGGCCTCTTAAAGTGCTGCAATTACAGGTGTGAGCCATGGCGTTTCTCCAGTTGCTCAGGCTGGTCTCAAACTCCGACCTCAGGTGATCTGCCTGCCTTGGCCTCTTACAATGCTGGAATTACAGGCGTGAGCTACTGCGCCCGGCTGTTGGGATGTATTTCTAATGTTCCATAGGGTAGGGCTGGTGGTGTGTTGTAGGGTGTGGCAGATCAGGGCACCAGGGGGCAGCAGTGGTTAGGAAATTGAGAGGCATTTCCGATGAAGACAACCTAAGGGAAACCCAGAGTAGGGGTTGGCCTGTCTCTCTCTAGCTCCCTTCCTGACACCTTGTCAGAGCACAACCGTGGCACACCCCCTTGGACTTCCCAACCCCGTGGCTGTCTCAGTTGGAGTTGAGGAACAGGTAGGAGGGGTCCCCATGAGATGGTGGTGTGAACCACTCAAGAAGTTGCTGGTACTTCAGGCTCTGATCTCACTCTCTTCCTTTAACTCCAGCTGACATCACTGTGCTAGGGGAACATTTCCACCTCTTGGGCTGAGCAGGGTATGCCAACCGACAGCTGGGTAGTCAAGGCAACCAAGGCAATAAAGCTCACAGAGGTTAATTTATATGAAATGAATGTGGCTGTAACTGGTTTTCATCCATTATAATTCTAAACATCATGTTCAAATTGCCTGTAGTGTTTTTAGTTGGCAGGAAAACTGCCATTAGGGAAAAAAGAGCAGAGGGATGATTGGGGGCGAGATTGAATTCACTTTAGTGGGTTTGGTGTGACTTTGGTTGAGTGTCGCAGTGTGCCAGACTTTTGTGAGTGTCGTAGTGTGACTTTTGTGAGTGTCACAGTGTGCCAACAACCAGTTGGGTTGTTGACTGTGCAGTCCTCAAGGAATATATGTATCAGTGATTTAATATAGGGAGAAATGTGTAGAGGGATAAATAGAGACCCATGAGAGCTCAGAGGAAGTGCAGTTAATGCTTGTGCATGGGTGCGTGAAACTGTGAACTCAGAGAGAAAGTGCCAGGTAGCATCAGAGCAGACAGTCAGGATTTAGCCATGCAGTGGAGGGGTGGAGAGTGGGTTTGCAGGCACTGGGACAGCAGCAAAGGACATGGCTCAAGGAAGGACAACGAGATTTGTTTGGCCATGTGGAGCAGGGTCCTAGGAAAACAAAGATGGTGCCAGATCTTGAGAGGCCTTGGTTTCCCAGTTAAGGAGATTGGACGACTTTATTATTTTATTTTCCCTCTTTCCATAATTCAGAGAAAGAGAATGGACTTTGGATTGCAGGTACTTAAGAGCTTTTGAGGAGGGCCTGAGCTGGACAACACTGTGCTTAGAAAGAAGAAACCATACAGTGCTTCAGTTTTTGTGGAGATAAAATAAAATATGAAAAACAGAAGAAACCATTTGCCTTTTTGGTGCTCAGAGGGCAGGGTAGGAGAGGAAAAGGAGCTTGTGTGTTGCAAGCAGGGAGGTAAAGAGCCCCTTTGGGACTAGTCAGTTGGCAAATAAGGCAGAGTGGGAGAGCAGTTAGGAGTATTTGTTTTGGGAATGGAAAGACCTGGATTTGATCACTAATCCTATAATTTTTTTTGGTAATAGCTTTCTTGAGATGTAATTCACATGCCATACAATTCACCCTTTAAAGTGTACAATTCGATATTTAGTATGTTTATAATTACACAACCATTACCACAATAATTTTACTTTTTAAAAATAGAGATTCAACTCACATACCATAAAACTCACCATTTTAAAGTGTACAATTCAGTGGTTTTTGGTATATTGATAAGGTTGCACAACCAGCACCACTATCTAATTCCAGACTATTTTCTTTCTTTTTTCTTTTTTTTTTGAGACGGAGTCTTGCTCTGTCGCTCAGGCTGGAGTGCAGTGGCGTGATCTCGGCTCACTGCAAGCTCTGCCTCCAGGATTCACAGCATTCTCCTGCCTCAGCCTCCCAAGTAGCTGGGACTACAGGTGCCCGCCACCATGCCTGGCTATTTTTTTGTATTTTTAGTAGAGACAGGGTTTCTCCATCTTGGTCAGGCTGGTCTCGAACTCCCGACCTCAGGTGATCCGCCTGCCTCGGCCTCCCAAAGTGCTGGGATTACAGGCATGAGCCACTGTGCCGAGCCTAATTAATTTTTGTATATGGTATGAAGTAGGGGTCTACTTTATTCTTTTGTTTGTGGATATTCAGCTGTACCAGTACCATTTGTAGAAAACACTATTCTTTCCCCATTGAATTTTTTTGGCACCCTTTTCTAAAATCAGTTGCCCACAAATGTATCCCTGCCACTTTTTTTTTTTTTTTTTTTTTTTTTTGCAACCCTTCTCCTTCTATAACCTACCACTTTTTAGCTCTGTAATTTAAGCCTCAGTTTTCTTATCTGTGAAATAACAGTAATATCCAGGACTGACTCATCCATCAGGCACAAGAGGCTCAATATTCTAGGTCCCATGGTACTTTTAAGGGTCCATAAAAATGTTTTAGTTATTTTTTGGCCAGGCGCAGTGGCTCACGCCTGTAATCCCAGCACTTTGGGAGGCCAAGGCAGGCAGGTCACCTGAGGTCAAGTTTGAGACCAGCTTGGCCAACAAAGTAAAACTCTGTCTTTACTAAAAATACAAAAATTAGCTGACATGGTGGTGGGTGCCTGTAGTCCCAGCTACTTGGCAGGCTGAAGCAGTAGAATCGCTTGAACCCAGGGGTTGGAGGCTGCAGTGAGCCAAGATTGCACCACTGTTCTCCAGCCTGGGTGACAAGAGTAAGACTCCCTCTAGGAAAAAAAAAAAAAAAAAAAAAAAAAAAGGGCCGGATGCGGTGGCTCATGCCTGTAATCCCAGCACTTTGGGAGGCTGAGGCGGGCAGATCACGAGGTCAGGGGTTTGAGACCAGCCTGACAAACATGGTGAAACCCCGTCTCTACTAAAATTACAAAAATTAGGCGAGTGTGGTGGTGCATGCCTGTAGTCCCAGCTACTCAGGAGGCTGAGGCAGGAAAATTGCTTGAACCCGGGAGGTGGAGGTAGCAGTGAGCTGAGATGGCGCCACTACACTCCAGCCTGGGTGACAGAGCAAGACTCCGTCTCACAAAAAAAAAAAAAAAAAAAGTTTTGGTTACTTTTCACATCTGAAGAAAGAAATGAAAATTTAGGTCAAAGAAAACGTCTTGATATATTAAGACATTATTAAATATTCTTTTATCAATGCAGCTGTAAAATATAATTTTTAGTATTATTTTTATAGAGGAAGGGGCCCACAAAAGCAAAGGTGTCTCAGACCCGCAAAAATCCTACTGTGGGCTTGACACTGTTTGTCTCACAGGGTTATCATGAGGATGCAATGTGATAATCATGTCAAATCTCATGTGCTGTGCTGGCCCATAGTAGGCCATCAGTAAACGGTCAGTGTTTATGGAGTAGCAGACAGAATCTCCCTCATCAGCCTGGGCCCCTTTAGCAGGAGAGCAGTGGGGGGGCTTTTCTGTCCCGCTAGCACCTTGGCAGGCTGGTGAATTATTGACTGTGCAAACCCATGAAGGAACCACTTAGTGAGCTTGAGGGAAGGGCAGTGCTAAGGAGCTGGTCCTCTGCCCCAGTTTCCTGTCCTGACACCTCTGAGGGTTCAGGGGCACCTGTGGCCTCACCAGGCAGAGAGAGAGTTGCCGAGGTGGAGAGGAGGCAGGCAATAGAGGGGTTCTGTGCCTCAGCGCCTGGTGGGGTTGGTAAAGCTCCCTAGCTGTAATTCCCTGCCTTTGTTAGGCAGAGAGACCTGGTGTCCACCTGGGTGGAGAAGGCAATGACCATGAGTGACTTAAATGGCTCTGACAGCCAATACTCGTTTTTTTTTTTTTTTTGAGACAGGGTCTCACTCTGTCACCCAGGCTGCAGCACAGTGGCACAATCTTGGCTCACTGCAACCAATGTTCTTTTTTAAAAAATAAATAAAGATGAAATTCACACAACATAAAATTAACCATTTTATTTATTTAGTAGAGATAGGATCTTGCTATGTTGTCCAGGCTGGAGTACAGTGACTATTTACAGGTGTGATACCTCTACTGATCAGCGCAAGAGTTTTGACCTGTTCAGTTTCTGACCTGAGCTGTTCACCCCTCCTTAGGCCGCTGGTTGTCCCTTGCTCCTGGAAGGTCACCATATTGATGCCAAACTCAGTGTGGATGCCCAATTGGTAGAGTGCACTACAGCCCAGAACTCATGGACTCAAGTCAGCCTCCCAAGTCCCTGGGACTACAGGTATGCACCAAAATTAACCATTTTAAAGTGTATGATTCAATGGCATTTAGTACATTTATGATATTATGCAACCATTACCTCTAATGTAGTTCCAAAATATGTTTATCATCCCGAAAAGAAACCTTATACTCCTTAAACAGTCACTTACCATTCCTCCCTTGCCTTAGGCCCTGACAACCACTCATCTGCTTTCTGTCCCTATGAATTTGCCTACTCTGGACGTTTAATATAAATGGAATCATACAATACGTGACCTATTGTGTCTGGCTTCTTTAACTCAGCATAATTTTTTTTATTTTAAAATTTTATTTTTTTGAGACAGAGTCTTGCTCTGTTGCCCAGGCTGGAGAGCAGGGGCGTGATCTTGGCTCACTGCAACCTCTGCCTCCTGGGTTCAAGCGATTCTCATGCCTCAGCCTCCCAAGTAGCTGGGATTACAGGCACGTACCTGTACATGTGTTTCATGTGCTGGTTACCATTTGTTCACTATGCCCAGCTAATTTTTTTTGTTTGTATTTTTTTTTTTTTTGAGACAGAGTCTCACTCTGTCACCCAGGCTGGAGTGCACTGGCGCTATCTTGGCTCACTGCAACCTCTGCCTCCCAGGTTCAAGTGATTCTCCTGTCTCAGCCTCCTGAGTAGCCTGGGACTACAGGCACGTGCCACCATACCTGGCTAATTTTTTTGTATCTTTAGTAGACATGGGGTTTCACCATGTTGGCTAGGCTGGTCTCGAACTCCCGACCTCAGGTGATCTGCCCGCCTTGGCCTCCCAAAGTGCTGGGATGACAGGCGTGACCCACCGGGCTTGGCCTTGTTTGTATTTTTAGTAGAGATGGGGTTTCACCATGTTGACCAGGCTCAGGCAATCCTCCTGCCTCAGCCTCCAGAAGTGCTGGGATTACAGGCGTGAGCCACCATGTCTGGCCCAGAATAATGTTTTTGAGGCTCATTCATGCTGTAGCAGGTATCAGCACTTCATTCTTTTCATAAGTTGAATAATAGTCCATTGTGTGGAATATACCACATTTGGTTTATCCATTCCTTTGTTGATGGACTTTTGAGTTGTTTCCACCCTTTGGTGATTGTGAATAGTGCTGCTATGAACATTTGTATGTCAGGTTTTGTTAAAATACCTGTTTTCAATTCTTTTGGGTATATGAACATTTGTATATCAGGTTTTGTTTAAATACCTGTTTTCAATTCTTTTGGGTATATGAACATTTGTATGTCAGGTTTTGTTTAAATACCTGTTTTCAATTCTTTTGGGTAGGAGTGGAATTGCTGGGTCATAGGATTATTCTCTGTTTCACATGTTGAGGAACCTCCAGACTATTCTCTAAAGCAGCTGTACCATTTTACATTCCCATCAGCAATGTATAAAGTTTCTCCACATTATCATAAACACATTATTATTAATATTATTATTATTATTATTTTGAGACAGGGTCTTGCTCTGCTGCCCAGGCTGGAGTGCAGTGGCACAATCATGGCTCACTGCAGCCTTGATCTCCTGGGCTCAAGCAATCCTCCCACCTTAGCCTCCTGAGTAGCTGGGACTATTCCACCCCAACATGGCATGCACCATCATGCCTGGCTAATTTTTTGATTTTTTGTAGAGATGGAGTCTTGCTATGTTGCCAAGGCTGGTCTTGAACTCCTGAGCTCAAGTGATCCTCCCACCTCAGCCTCCCAAAGTGCTGAGATTACAGGTGTGAGCCCCTGCACCCAGCCATTGTTTGTTTTTTTGATTATAGCCATCCTAGTAGGTGGGTGGGCAGTGGTATCTCATTGTGGTTTTGATTTGTGGTTTCAATTTGTATTTCCTGGCCGGGCGTGGTGGCTCATGCCTGTAATCCCAGCACTTTGGGAGGCCGAGGCAGGCAGATCACCTGATGTCAGGAGTTCAAGACCAGCCTGGCCAATATAATGAAACCTCGTCTCTACTAAAAATACTAAAATTAGCCGGGCACGATGGCAGGTGCCTGTAATCCCAGCTACTCGGGAGGCTGAGGCAGGAGAATGGGTTGAACCCGAGAGGCTAAGGTTGCGGTGAGCCGGTATCATGCCATTGCACTCCAACCTGGGTGAGAGAGAGAGACTCTGTCTCAAAAAAAATTTTTTTTAATATTTCCCTAATGACTAATGGTGTTGAGCTTCTTTTCATGTGCTTGTTACCATTTGTTCTTTTTTCTTTCTTTATTTTTTTTTTTTTTGATCCAGGCCTGGTGAATTCTCCACCAGTCCCTATAAGAAAACCTTGCCCCGGGAGATGGAGGTTGCAGTGAGCCAAACTCACGCCACTGCACTCTAGCCTGGGTGACAGAGCGAGACTCTGTGTCAGAAAAAAAAAAAAAAGAGAAAACCTTGCCCTGTAGGAGTCCCCTTCTCTGGGGAACAGCTAGCCTTAGATGTTAAATATACAGTCTAAGTGCCCTCTTGGCCTCATGTGTCCTGCAGACTCCTTCTCTACCTGGCGTCATCCCAGATCTTGCCTTGGGTCTTGGGCCTTTCCTGCTGGCCATAACGTTCCCAAAGGGGTAACAGTTGTGTCTTTGGGAGCTCTTCTCTTTTGCCCTGACAAATTCCTTATTGTTTATCTGGAACTTGTTCATTGTTGCCTCTGCCCACTTGGGCCTCACTGAATTCTTCTCTCCACCTCCTACTCATTCCTGGTTATCTTAGATTCCTTAGCCTCTAACGTTTTCTAGACTCTCCCCCTTGGTCCTGGTGGACTCTCCCCAGTGGACTCAGTTGGCAAACTTTCCAGCCTGGGGGCCCTGCTGTTCTGGCACAGCTAGGGAGAAGGGCAGGAGGCTGGCTGGCCTCTCTGAGGGTGTTGGGGTGGCAGATCATTCACGCTTCACTTCTCACCGGAGTGGTGGGGAGGTCTCTGGAGGACCCTGGCTCTGGAGAAGGAGGGGGTTGCCATACCAACCCTTGTAGCAGGAGCATAACAGTGATAAAAACCCGCATGTCATTTGTGAGGTACAAAGTCCTGGTCTAGTTTGGGCCCAGGGGTTTTTCCTTTCTGCAAGATGGCTCTCTCTTTATTCCATCTCTTGCTCACTCGCTGACTCACTGACAACATACATTTACTGGGTGCTGACTCTGCAAAGCCCTGTGCTGGGCCCTGAGACTAAAAAGCTCAGCATTTGAGCCCCTCATGGTGTCTAGACAGATAAACACACAAATGCAATATGATGTGATGTGTGTGATAGCAGGGTATGTATGAAGGCAGTGGGAACCCAGCTGAAGTAGGAATCACTCTGCCTTGAGAGAAAAAAATGGGTAGCTTGAGCTGCAAGGAAAAGGTGACATTTGAGTTGGTTCTTGATGGAGGAGAGACTGACGTAGGGGAGAAAGGCATTCTAGGTAAAGGACTCAGGTTCTTCGAATGGACTCGGCTCAAGAGCGATTTAGGAGGAAACTCAGAAGCCCACTGCATTTCCTTTGTCTTTCTCCCCAACTACACTGGGAACACCTTGAAGTCGAAAGACGCAGTCTAAGGCCAGGTGTGGTAGCTCATGCCTATAATCCCAGCACTTTAGGAGGCCGAAGTGAGCGGATCACTTGAGCCCAGGAGTTTGGGACCAGTTTGGGCAACATGGTGAAACTCTGTCTCTCCAAAAAAAAAAAATTAGCCAGGCGTGGTGGTGCACACCTTAGTCCCAGGTACTCAGGAGGCTGAGCTGGGAGGATCACATGAGCTCTGGAGGTTGAGGCTGCAGTGAGCGAAGATCATGCCACTGCACTCTAGCCTGGGTGGCAGAGTGAGTGAGACCCTGTCTTCTCTGGCCTGGGCCCCAGACTGTCTCTTGTCCTCCACGTAAGTTCATCTTTTCTATGTTTCCAGATGCGAATGACTGATGTGATAAAGTCACTCATGTTTTGTGTTGCTGGGAACGGGTGGGTTATTTATTTTTATTATTTATTTATTATTTATTTATTTGAGATGGAGTTTCACTCTTGTTGCCCAGGCTGGAGTGCAACAGCACGATCTCAGCTCACCACAACCTCTGCCTCCCTGGTTCAAGCGATTCTCCTGCCTCAGCCTCCCAAGTACTGGGATTACAGGCATGCGCCACCATGCATGACTAATTTTTTTATTTTTAGTAGAGACGGGGTTCCTCCATGTTGGTCAGGCTGGTCTCAAACTCCTAGCCTCAGGTGATCCATCCACCTCAGCCTCCCAAAGTGTTGGGATTACAGGTGTGAGCCACTGCGCCCGGCCTGCGTTTTTGTTTTTTTGAGATAGAGTCTTGCTCTATTGCCCAGGCTGGGGTGTAGTGGCGCAATCTTGGCTCACTGCAACCTCTGCCTCCCGAGTAACTGGGACTACAGTTGTGTACCACTATACCCGGCTAATTTTTGTATTTTTGGTAGAGATGGAGTTTTGCCATATTGGCCAGGGTGGTCTCGAACTATTGAGCTCAGGTGATCTGCCTGCCTTGGCCTCCCTAAGTGCTGGGATTACAGACGTGAGCCACCAAGCCCGGCCTGGGATATTTAATTAATTCAATAAATAATACATTCACCTAGCATTAATTTAGGCTTAGTATGTGCAAGGCATAGAAAAGGTTATAGTGTGGTGCTTAAAGGGACAGGCTTAAAATCAGAATGACTGGGTTTGAATCCTACTAATTAGCTGGGAGGTCTCATTCAAGGTACTTAACCCCTCACTGTTCTCCTCTATAAAATAGGAATAATAATGCTCTATAGTGCTGTGGAGATTGAATAAGAGAGCGCACATGTGAACTCAGCATGGTGCCCAGTATAGCAAATATTAATGGTGGTATACACAGTATAGTATATATGTCTGTGTGTACATATATATATATATATATATATATACACACACACACATGCACACACATATATATTATAAATATATAAATATATAAGATACACATATAGAATTTACATATATACATATACACATGTATATATATGTATATGTAGTATACATATATACATATACATACATATATTACTAGGTAGTGTATGACATATATATGTGTATGTGTGTGTGTGTATATGTATATATGTATATATCCATTCCTATTCTTAGGGAATTTAAAGACTTCAAATGGGAAAGAAAACCACTCAAATAACCAAAAAATAATAATGTATTTTTCCCAGGTGATGTATTAGCATTTGAAACAGGGACCTTCTGGAGTCATTAATCAAAGGACAGTTATTCTTAGGGAGATACTTTTTTTTTTGAGAGAAATTAGGATTGATGAATGGAAGGAGGTAAACTTTTGTCTCCGTATAAAGGAGACATTTTTAAGAGAGCATCTTGCCAGGCGCAGTGGCTCACGCTTATAATCCCAGCACTTTGGGAGGCTGAGGTGGGTGGATCATCTGAGGTCAGGAGTTCAAGACCAGCCTGGCCAACATGGTGAAACCCCATCTCTACTAAAAATAAAAAGAATTAGCTGGGCATGGTGTCAGGTGCGTGTAATCCCAGCTACTCAGGAAGCTGAGGCAGGAGAACCGCCTGAACCTGGGAAGCGGAGGTTGCGGTGAGCCGAGATTGCGCCATTGCACTCCAGCCTGGGCGACAAGAGCGAAACTCCATCTCAAAAAAAAAAAAAAAAAAAAGAAAGAAGAAAGAAAAAACAAAAAAGAGAGCATCCTGAAGGTAGTGAGCTCCTCATGTCCTGGAAGGTGACCAAGCACAGCCTGGCTATTGGTAGAGAGGCTTCCTGGATTCCTTAGGAGGTTGTAGAGGGGGATTCTAGGCTCCTGGGGAGTGTTTTGCAAAGGGCTCTCTTTCCCAGCCATGCTCCTGAAGGCTTTTGTCTCTCCTTCTTTGGATACCTCCCTCCTTTGGCAGGACCTGGAACTCTGCACATATATAATGGTGCTCGAGGCAGCTACCAGGGCAGGTGCCTTGTGCAGGTGACCTAGCACCTTATCTCTCCTGTCCCCATCTCTCCTCCTGCCTTTTCTGGCTTACCTCTTAGAGCAGAAATAACCCAAGGCCAAATATTAACTGTGAAACCATAAAACCATGTGAATGTCAGGTGGCTTCCAGTGGCCTGGACTCTTGGTGCCCTGTTATCAAGAAATGCTGTCTCACCTCTCAATGGGTGGGGAGGGTGGAGTGGCTGGGATGATGATGAGGGACCCAGAACTTTAGCCTTCCACCCAAGTGGAGTGGTGGGCAGAGGATGCCTCTGTTGCCTGAGGCTTCCATGGGGATTGTTGGAATCTGATCCTTGGGGCTTGGGGAGAGACCACTGCAGCGTCTTTTAGCATCAAGAGATGCTAAAGGTGCAATCAGGAACTCTCTTAGTTTATGCAAAGTTTTCACAGGCACCTACATAGTACTGGAATACGCATCTACCACTCATGTACCCTGGTATACACGCATCTGTATACTGTGTCTTACTCATCTTCAGAACTTGGCACAGTGCCTGCAACACCAATACATCTTTGTTGAACTGATGAGTGCACAGTGAATGAACAAATATTTGTGCCCACCCACACACTCATCCACACATGTAGATATTTGCAGGAGGGTACCTGTAGATACACATGCATGTTCACATTATACCTACACAACACACACACACATTCAGACCAAACACAATAGCATAAATACACCTGTCCGTACACACCAGCACGGAATAGATACATGCATATGAATATGTATGTAAATTTACAGATTCCTGAATGATCCGGCGGCATGGCAGAGGTGGTGCCTACTGATATGGCTCCGATGACTGGAGGAACACCAGGGTCCTTGGTCTTGCGCCAATGTAGGTAAGTGACACGGACACACACGGAGTAGTTTTAAGGAGCAAACAGTTTAATAGGCAAGAAAGAAGAAAAAAAGAAGAAAACAGCTCCCCTGTACAGAGACAGAGGTGGGGGCTCGGAACAAAGAGAAACCCCGTGTGTGGCGGAAAAAGTGGTTGCTTATATTGGGATGCTGGAGGAGGCGGTGTCTGGTCTGCATAGGGCCCAGGGGATTGGTTTGACCAGGTGTGTCATTTACGTAGCCGAAGAAAAACCTGGCCCTCCCACCTTAGTCCTTTAATATGCAAATGTGGGTCGCCATGATGTTCAGAACATCGTTTTTGGACTGGAAAGACCACCTCTCGGTTGTATGCTGGGATGCCTGCACACACTCTGTTATGAACTGAATTGTATCCCCTGCTAAAATTTATATGTTGAAGTCCTAACCCACAATACCTCAGAATGTGACTATATTTGGGGAGAGGTCTTTTAAAGAGATAATTAAGGTTAAGTGAGGTCATATGGGTGGGCTCTGATCCAATCTGACATCCTTATAAGAGGAAATGTGGGCCAGGCGTGGTGGCTCTCACCTGTAATCTCAGCACTTTGGGAGGCCGAGGCGGGTGGATCATCTGAGGTCAGGAGTTCGAGATACGCCTAGTTAACATGGTGAAATCCTGTTTCTACTAAAAATACAAAAAATTAGCCGGGTGTGGTGGCACGTGCCTGTAATCCCAGCTACTCGGGAGGCTGAGGCAGGAGAATTGCTTGAACCTGGGAGGCAGGATTGCATTAAGCCGAGATGGCGCCATTGCACTCCAGCTTGGGCAACAAGAGTGAAGCTCCATCTCAAAAAAAAAACCAAAAAAAAAAAGAGGAAATTTGAACGTACGAAGAGGCATCAAGGATGCATGCACAAAAAGAAAGACCACGTGAGGACAAGGGAGGAGACGGCCATCTGCAAGCCAAGGAGAGAGTCTCAAGGAGATAACAAACCTGCTGCCTTTAATTTTGGGCATCTAGCTTCCAGAACTGTGAGAACATACATTTCTGTTATTTAAGCCATCCAGCCTGTGATATTTAGTTATGGCAGACCTAGCAAAGTAATAGACACTCCAGAACTTTCATTTCTCTCTTCTCTAGATTTTGCACAGCAGGAGGAGGGAAGGGGCTGAGGAGACCTCACCACTACAAGTAGGACCAAGTTCAGTGTCTCTTGGCTTCTTGCAATCTCTTGGAGAAAATGTACTGGGCTGGCTGGGAGCTGCCCTTGGCTGTTGTTTCCTTAAAGAATCATGATAGGGCTAGCATGGTGGCTCATGCCTGTAATCTCAGCACTTTGGGAGGCCAAGGCAGGATGATTGCCCGAGGCCAGGAGTTTACTGCTAGCCTGGGCAACATAGTGAGACCTCATCTCTACCAAAAAAAAAAAAAAAAAAAAAAAAAAACAAAACAGAAAAAGCCAGCTTAGCCAGGAGAGGTGGTTGGTGCATGCTTGTAGTCCCAGCTAATCAGGAACCTGAGATGGGAGAATCACCTGAGCCCAGAAGTAGGAGGTTACTGTGTGCCATGATCACACCACTGCACTCCAGCCTTGGAGACAACAGTGAGACTCTTGCCTGAAAAAAAAAAAAAGTTAAGAACCGTGATAATAGGTGGAGGAAAACAGTCTTAAGATTCTAAAAGGGTGAATCCCCAAGCAGGCTGGAGCCAGTGTGAAGATACTTATGAAGTGTTTGTGTGTGTGTTTGTGTGTTCACATGTTGGTATGGAGGCAGCCCCAGCCTGCTGTTTTTTTTTTTTCTTAAAAAGAGGGTGATGCTATGATTTCACTGTGTGCTGCACATTTCAAAGTCCAAGACTAGGAGGCAAGAACTCTGGCTTGAGTTTTGGGTTCTACCACCAACTTGCTGCATGGACTTAAGCAAATTGCTTCACTTTCATGGACTCGGGATTCTCATTTACATGGTTACTTGTTTCACGGGGTTCCTGTAAAGGATCCAAGGAGCTAAGGGAGCTACAGGTGCTTTGAAGAGTTAAGAACATTAAGAACTTTTCCTAGCAGCCAGGACTTACTTTTCAGCTGGGTGAAAAGCATTTCACATAGTCTGGCATCCTCAAAAATGAACCTGTGCTGAGCCCTGTGCAGTTCATATAATAAAGGGCTAAAGACAGCATACTTTCTATTCTCTAGGGGGTAGGCCAACCAAGAATACCCACAGAGGCTGGTCACTATGACCCCAAGCAGTCAGCCGTATACTGGGATAGAGTATAGTATAGAGAGGTGCTAAAGATGTTGTGGTCTTGGGGCTTTGGGAAGTCAGAGAAGGTTTCATGGAGGTAGTGAGGATTGGCTGAATTTGGTTGGGTAGATGGTGGGGATTGGGGGTAATGGAGTATTCTGAGTGGAAGAGTCAGGATGGCCCTTGGTCTACGGAGGCAGGAGAGGAATGATGCCACATCAGAGTTACAGGTAAAGATTAAAAGGGAAAACCAGAGTGACGAGGTTAATTTTTGAGTCCTTCCTGGAACTGACCCAGCCCAATGGTTAATCTTTTTGGCCCCTTGGACCCTGTCCCAGGCATACATACACACAACCTGGGGATCCAGAGCAGCCCAGAGCAGAGCTGAGGGGGAACTTGGAGGTCACCCTGCTCAAGCCTGACCCGATTCCAGAAGCAAAACGGAAGACAGATAGAGGGACTGAGATTTCACAGGGAGTTAGTTGGCAATGCAGGGATTTGAGCTCAGGTCTCCAGAGACAGAGTCTAGTACCTTTTCTAGGTCTTAAAAGTGGACTGGGTTTCAGAGGTTTTTACCTAGTGTTGGGGAGGATTGAGAGTTTGGATCCTAACTTGTAAGTGTAGCTGTATTTGTTGATTGTTTCTGGGTGCAGAGCCTAGGATTGCACACTGGATAGGCTCCTGCAGGTAACTGAGGTGGGCAGTTCCCTTGCCCTGGGGACTTCAGGGGTGACCAGAAGGCCCTCCATGTTCCTGCCTGGCTAACTGATAGCTACCATTTCACTAGAAGGGCTTCATGCCCACAGCTCTAGGCTTTGATCTTTTTCACAATGCTATTTTGCTCTGGGAGGGACATTCATAGCAAACTTTGAATCAGTTGATGACATAACTCAGTGTAAAGTGGGTGTGGGGGAGGGAACAGATCCTTTCCTGAGAGCTAATTTTGATGGGGAAAGAGAGCATGAAGGTATTTAGTGTGATGAAAAGACAAAGGCAGCCAGGGAGGCCCAGCCTTTAGGATCTAGTCTGGAGGTTCGGAGCTTGGTTTCAGAATTAGGCAGATTTTTCTTTTCCTTGTTAAAAAAGCAATATCACCTAATTACAGATTAATCAGAAAACACAGAGAGCAATGATAGCAGAAGAAATAATCCCTACAGTCCCATTCTCCCCTTCTCCCTTAGATGGCCATTATTAGTGCCTGAGAATAGTCCCTCTAGTCCCTTCTCTATGCATATTTTATGTATGCATGTGTGTGTACATATATAATGTACATGTGTGAGTTTCAGACTTCTAGCCTCCGGAACTGTGAGACAAAAAATTTCTTTTTCTTTTTCTTTTTTTTTGAGACAGAGTCTGGCGCTGTTGCCCAGGCTGGAGTGCAGTGGCGTGATCTTGGCTTACTGCAACCTCTGCTTCCCAGGTTCAAGCAATTCTCTGCCTCAGCCTCCTGAGTAGCTGGGATTCAGGTGCCCGCCACCACACCCAGCTAATTTTTGTATTTTTAGTAGAGACGGGGTTTCATTATGTTGGCCAGGCTGGTATGGAACTCCTGACCTCGTGATCCGCCCGCCTCGGCCTCCCAAAGTGCTGGGATTACAGACGTGAGCCACTGCACCTGGCCGATACAATAAATTTCTGTTGTTTAAGCCACCAGTTGTGGGACTTTGTTATGGTAGCCCTAGCAAATGAATGCAAGTGCCCTAGAGCCGTGGTTCTTAAAGTGTGGTTCTTGGACCAACAGCATCAGCATTACCTGGGATTTGTTAGGCAACGTGTGTATATACATTGATATTATTTATATGTCTAGTATATGTATGTGTATATAAGTAAAAAGTAGTATATAACCTCCTTGCTTTCACTCTGATCTGGAAAGTTTGCTGAGCTGTAGACTGGGCAGCACATGCCTGTGGACATCTCAAAGCAGGTCCCTCTTGTGCCAATTTGTTTTTATACCCTCTTCTTGTCTCCCTTCATTACCCTCTAGAGCAAGAGTTGGTCAACTTTTTCTGTAATAGGCCAGCTAGTAAATATCTTATTTTGTGGGGCATATGGTCTCTGTCACAATGACTTGACTGCCATTGTAGCACAAAAGCAGTCATAGATAATATGTAAGTGGATGATCATGAACATGTTCCAGTAACCATTTCCAGGCAATGAAATTTGAATTTCATGTGATTTTCATATGTCTTGAAATAGTCTTCTTCTTATATTTTTTCTTTTTTTTTATTATTATAATACCTTAAGTTTTAGGGTACATGTGCACAACGTGCAGGTTTGTTACATATGTATACATGTGCCATGTTGGTGTGCTGCACCCATTAACTCATCATTTAGCATTAGGTATATCTCCTAATGCTATCCCTCCCCCCACCCCACAACAGTCCCCGCTGTATGATGTTCCCCTTCCTGTGTCCATGTGTTCTCGTTGTTCAATTCCCACCTATGAGTGAGAACCATTAAAAAATGTAAAAATTGGCTGGGCGTGGTGGCATGTACCTGTAATCCCAGCACTTTGGGAGGCTGACTGAGGGGGAGGATCGCGTGAGCCCAGGAGTTCAAGACCAGCCTGGGCAATATGGTGAAACTCCATCGCTCCAAAAATATATATAAAAATAAGCTGGACATGGTGGCGACTGCTTGTAGTCCTAGCTACTGGGGAGGCTGAGGTGAAAGGATTGCTTGAGCCCGGGAGGCGGAAGCTGCAGTGAGCAGAGAGTGTGCCATTGCACTCCAGCCTGAGTGACAGAGTGAAACCCTGTCTCAAAAAAAAAAAAAAAAAAAAAGTGAAAATCAAGCCAGGTGTAGGTGGTGTGTGCTTGTAGTCCCAGCTACTTAGGAGGCTGAGGCAAGAAAATTGCTTAAGCCCAGGAGTTGGAGGCTGCAGTGAACTATGATGGCGCCATGGCACTCCAGCCTGCGTGACAGAGTGAGACCCCATCTCTTAAAAAAAAAAAAAAAAAAAAAAAGAAAGTAAAAACCATTATTAGTTTATAGACAACACAAAAAACCATGGTGGGCTAAGTTTAGCCCATGGGCCATACCTAGCTGACCCTGCTCTGTGGTAGTAGTGATGTCTGATATAACTTTCTGTTCTGATGGAAATGTTCTATATTTGTGCTGTCAAATACAGTAGCCATGAGCCCTATGTGGCTACTGAGCACTTGAAATGTGCCCAGGGTGACTTGAGGAACTCAATTTTCAGTTTTATTTCATCTTAATGAATGTAAATTTAAATAGTTATTTGTGCCTGTGACTCCTGTATTCAATAGGGTATTATTTTCTGAGGGCTGCTGTAACAAATTACCACAAATTGGGTCACTTAAAACAATGGAAATTAATTTTTTCATAGTTCCAGAGGCTATGAGTGAATAAACAAGGTGTTAGCAGAGCCATACTGCTTCTGAAGGCTCTAGGGAAGAATCCTTCCTGGCCTCTCCTCCAGCTTCTGAGGGCTTCTGGCACCCTTGGTGTTCTTTAGCTTGTCGATGCATCACTTCAGTCTCTGCCTCCATTGTCACATGGCATTCTCCTTGTGTGTGTGTGTGTGTGTGTGTGTGTGTGTATGTCTCCAAATCTTGCTATCTTTATAAGCACACCAGCCATTGGATTTAGGGCCCATCCTAATCCCGTATGACCTCATCTTTACTAATTACAACTGCAAAGACCCTATTTCCAAATGAAGTCACATTCTGAGGTTCTGGGTGGACATGAATTTTGGGAAGACAACAATCAACCCAGTATAGATAGAGTAGCTCTAAAGCACTGGTTCTTAAATTTAGTGTGCATCAGAATCACCTGGAGGACCTGCTGAACCATAGCTTGCTAAGCCCCATCCCCAGACCTTCTGATTGGTAGGTCTTGTTTGTCTAACAAATCCCATGTGTTTTGATGCTGCTGGTTCAGGGACCACACTTTGGGAACCGTTGCTGTAGTACTCTTGCATTCATTTGCTAGGGTTACCATAACAAAGTCCCACAAACCTGGTGGCTTAAACAATAGAAAGTTATTGTCTCACAGTTCTGGAGGGTAGAAGTCTGAAATCAAGGTGTTGGCGGGGTTGGTTCCTTCTGAGGGCCTTGAGGGAAGATCTATGCCAGGCCTCTCTCCTTGGCTTATAGATAGCAGTCTTCTTATTGGCATGGCATTTTCACTGTATGTGTGTCTCTGTGTCCAAGTTTCCCCTTTTTATTAGGACAACAGTCACATTGGATTAGGGCCCACCCTAATTACCTTATTTTAATTTGATGACCTCTTTAAAGACCCTATCTCCAAATAAGCTCCCATTTTGAGCTACTGGGAGTTAAGACTTCAATGTGAATTTTTTTGAGGGATGAGACACAATTGAACCCATAACAGAGCTTGACTATGCTTTTGGCACCTTGAGCTACGGGGTACCTTCTTGGAGCTCCTGTGTACAAGATAACCATGCTTCTCTTGTCTTTAAACTCTGGACAGAAGCTGGCCTGTATAAAAATTTCTACGACTAGGAGGCAGGAGTCTTGGCTTCCAGTTCTGCTCTGTTGACACCTGACTGGGGAATTGGACAAATAACTTGTCTCAAGGTCATAGTATCTCCTTGGTCTTTGGTGAGCTCTGACGATCTGTGATTCACAGGTGACAAGACAAGGTTAGTTTTTGGTTTGTTCTTGGCCTCCGTTCTGTCTTGTAGATTCTCATTTGTGCTAATGAGACCAAGGCTGGGAATTTGATCCTTTCGGGCTCATTGATTTTTTTCTATGCTCTCTTTATCAATATTTTACTCATTCATCCAACAAACACTTATTGAGCATCTCTTGTGTAGTAGGCATTGTGCTCAACAGGACAGGGTCTCGGCTCTTCTTAGCTCACCCTGGTGGTGAGAGACATATAAGCAGATAATCAGAAATACTTTTTTTTTTTTTCTCTTGAAGAGACAGGGTCTCCCTGTGTTACCCAGGCTGGTCTTGAACTCCTGGGCTTAAGCAATCCACCTGTCTTGGCCTCCCAGAGTACTGGGATTACAGGCATGAGCCACTGTACCCAGCCTGAGAAACACATTTGATGAGTATTATGGCTACTGTTAAATTTTTATTTATTTATTTATTTTTTGAGACAGGGTCTCACTCTGTCACCTGGGCTGGAGTGTAGTGATGCGATCATAGTTCACTGCAGCCTCGACTTCCTGGGGTCAAGTGATCCTGCCACCTTAGCTTCCCTAGTAGCTGGGACTATAGGTACGTGCCACCACATCTGGCTAATTCTTATTTTTTTTTAAGAGATGGGCTTTTGCCATGTTGCCCAGGCTGGCCTTGAACTCCTAGGCTCAGTCAGTCTGCCCACATTGGCCTCCCGAAGTGCTGGGATTACAAGTGTGGGCCACTGCACCCAGATAAAATTTTTAATTGGGAAGCCATAGGCTGACATGGCTCCAGCATATTAAGCCCCACTGTAAACAGTAAAACAGAATTAGAGATTTCATCAATCAGAAACGTCTAACTAACTTCTAAATAGGGACTTTTTGCTCTAACCAATCAAATATATTTTCTTTGTCTTTCTTCCACAAACACGTTATGAAAGTTTCTCACCCCCATCCCCCAGTGCAGTGCAAAATTGCTTGTGGTCTGGTGCTACCTGATTTATGAATCACTGTCTGCTAAAATAAACTCTTTAACATTGTAATGTGCCTAAGTTTATCTTTTAACATTACGTGATAAATATAATGTGCTATGGGAACTAGGATGGTAGGGTGGGTAGTTCTGCTTGGGGGTGTCAGAAAAGAATTTAATGAAGAGATGAGCTGTATTTTTTTTTTAAGAGATAGAATCTCACTCTGTCATCCAGGCTGGAGTGCAGTGGCGTGATCATAGCTCACTGCAGCCTCAAACTCCTGGGCTCAAGTGATCCTCCTGCCTCAGCCTCCCAAGTAGCTAGGACTACAGGCATGTGCCGCTGTGCCAAGCTAATTTTAAAAATTTTTCGTAGAGTTAGGGTCTTGCTTTGTTGCCCTGGCTAGAATGCATCTTAAATGTTGAACTGTAGTTCTGTGGGCACAGAGGGCCAAGAGAGGAATTCTAAGAAGAGGAGGAATTCTAGGAAGAAGGAACCGCTTGTGCTGTTCCTGGCAGGTATGAAGAGTAACTGGGTATGTTTGGTGCTCCAAGACATGTGGACGACTAGTGGGAGATGAGGCTGAAAATATGGTTTCAGAACAAGGAAGGATGTTATATGCCAGGCCAAGGAGGTTAGAGTTCATCCTGAGCCAAAAAGGAACCGTGAGGGTTTTTACACTGGGGGAGTTATATGTTCACCTGGTTGTTTTGAGACGCTCTGTCTGGCCTGAGGGAGGTGTTGGAGCTGAAGAGTCTAGAGGCAGGGAGGGCAGTTAGGGGGTCAGTTCTATGGCTCAAGTGACTGATGACAAGGTCTGAACCAAGGCAGGGGTCATGGTGGTGAGAGAGGAGAGGACAAATTCAAGATGTTTAAGGTCTTTAGCTCGGGCAACTGCGTGTTTGGTTGTGCTGGCCAGGGAAGAGGAGGAAGGAGGTTTGGGTGGAGAGAGTAATGTCTTCTGTTTTGGACAAATGACATTCAAGGGGTCTGGGCACCACCCAGGGAGGTGTCTTCTCTCAGCTTGTGAACTGTAAGTCTGGACCTCCACAGAGGGAAAGGGCTCATCTCAGGCATCTCCTCCTGCTTATTGCTCCAGCCACACTGCCTTTCTGTCCCTTCTTAGATCATTCCAGCCAAGTTTATTCCCACCTTAGGGCCTCTGATATGACTCTTCCTCTGGTTTTCCAGATGGCTGGCTCCTCTCTTTTTTTTTTTTTTTTTTTGAGATGGAGTCTTGCTCTGTCACCCAGGCTGGAGTGCAGTGGCACCATCTTGGCTCACTTTAGCCTCTGCCTCTCAGGTTCAAGCGATTCTCCCATCTCAGCCTCCCAAGTAGCTGTGATTATAGGTGCCTGCCAGCACATCCAGCTAATTTTTGTTTGTTTGTTTGTTTATTTATTTCATAGTCTTGCTCTGTTGCCCAGGCTGGAGTGCAGTGATGTGATCTCGACTCGCTGCAACCTCCACCTCCTGGGTTCAAGCGATTCTCCTGCCTCAGCCTCCCCAGTAGCTGGGATTACAGGTGCGCTCCATCACACCTGGCTAATTTTTGTATTTTTAGTAGAGATGGGGTTTTACCATGTTGGCCAGGCTGGTCTTGAACTTCTGACCTCGTGATCCGCCTGCCTCAGCCACCCAAAGTGCTGGGATTAAAGGCGTGAGCCACTGCACCTGGCCAATTTTTGTATTTTTAGTAGAGGCGGGGTTTCATCATGTTGAACAGGCTGGTCTAGAATTCCTGATCTTAGGTGATCCACCCACCTTGGCTTCCCAAAGTGCTGGGATTACAGGTGTGAGCCACTGCACCTGGCCTCATTGTTTAGTTCTCAGCAGTGCAAGGGCAGAGACTTTATTTTATTTGGTGCTCTATCCTCAAGGTCATGAGCATCTACTATGTGCCAGGAGCTCAATGCATGTCTGTTGAGTGAATAAGTGATTGGTGGCTAAAGCCTAGGAGTGAAGCAGGGGGAGAGGATGCACATTAACATTAGAGGGATCTGGCCAGGTGCAGTGGCTCATGCCTATAATCCTAGCACTTTGGGAGGCTGAGGCTGGAGGACCACTTGAGACTAGGGGTTCCAGGCCAGCCTGGGCAACACAGCGAGACCCCATCTCTACCAAAAAAAAAAAAGTTAGAAAATTAGCCAGGTGTGGTAGCATTCACCTATAGTCCCAGCTACTTGGGAGGCTGAGGCAGGGAGATCACTTGAGCCCAGAAGTTTGAGGCTGCAGTGAGCTCTGATCACTCCAGCCTGGGAGATAGTGTAAGAGAGTGAGAGTGCCTAAACTCAAATTCCCCTCTTACTAGCTGTGTTAACTGGGACCAGTGCCTCAGTTTCTTCATCTGTAAAATGGGGATAATAATGGTATCTACCACTCTGGGTTGTTGTAAGGACTAAATGAGACCTCTCATGGTATGTTCAATAAGTATGAGTCATTATTATTAATTAAATACCACCTTATGCCAGATAATACGCAAGGGACTTTCAATGCAAAATTTTAATTTTCACAATAACCTGTTGAGATAGGAATTTTAAAAATCCACGTTTTATAGTTGAAGAAACAGAGGCTCAGAAAGAGGAAGTCACAGAATCACACATTTACCGGTTGAGAGGTAGAGGTACTGGAAGCTAAGCCCGAGTTTGTCTGACTTTAATGCCTGTGCTCCTAACCACTGCACACTGCACTCCTCTGTAGATGTGACCTTGGAGTCCTGGCGTGGTAAAGTGCATCGGCTGCAGAGGCCTGTCAGAACTCAGAGGTCCTGCCTCCTAGAGCTTTAGCTTCCCTAATCCCGCAGAGACCCTCTCCAGAAAGGGTATCAGCAGCACAAAGGGTATCCCAAGATGAGATGCACCTGAGATCAGTCTTCCTTCCTCTGACTGGGAAGACTGGCAGTGGACCCAGGAGACCTTGTGAAATGTACAGCCTGGTGATCCACAACAACCTACAGACCAGAATTTTTATGACCAGTCATCACATTTCTCTCTAATATCTAGAACCTTTGGGTAGGATAAGAGACTTCAATTAAAACGCAATCTTCCCCTTTGACCAATTACTCTTTAATTATCTTCCCATTCACTAACCTCTGCCGATACCATGATAAGTAAGAGAAAATGACTTTTGAATTAGTTCATTGGTGACAAAGTCTTCTAAGGAAACAGTGTTTTATATATATCCATAGATACATGTGCACACACCTGCTCAGCTGCCCATGTGCAAACACGTGCCTGCCATGGAGTGTGTATCTACATAAGTCTACATATTCCCTAGAACACAAATAACCTTGCAAAGAACTTGCCACATGTGCCAGGGTTCTTATCTACCCAATTGTACATACATAGCAAAAACAAATAAAAAAACCTAATACAACCACACACCCACAAAACAAAACCAAAATCCAAAGCCAAACCCCAAACCCGTCAAATCCTCAGATGACTCTTAAGTTTGGAAGGGCAGACTAAGCAAAAAATTAAGAATATTAGTTTCTGGATGGAGGTGGTGGCTCACGCCTGTAATCCCAGCACTTTGGGAGGCCGAGGTGGGTGGATCACCTGAGGTCATGAGTTCGAGACCAGCCTGGCCAACATGGTGAAACCCTGTCTCTACTAAAAATACAAAATTAGCTGGGCATAGTGGTGTGCGCCTGTAATCCCAGCTACTCTGAAGGCTGAGGGAGGAGACTCACTTAGAACCTGGGAGGCGGAGGTTGCAGTGAGCCGAGATCACGCCACTGCACTCCAGCCTGGGCAACAAAGGGAGGCTCTATCTCACAAAAAAAAAAAAAAAAAAAGAAGAAGAATATTAGTTTCTATTCATTGAGTGCTCACTAAATGCTCAAAACTGTATTAAGCAATTTACATATACTGTCTCACCTAGTCTTCGTAACAACCCATGAATCAGATATTAGCACTCCAATTGTTTCTCACAGGAAGACTGAGGCTGTGGTAAAGTCCCAGTACCCGAAGGGATTATATGCACATCAGTGTTTTTTTTTTTTTTAATTTTACTTTAAGTTCCGGGATACATGTGCTGAACATGCAGGTTTGTTACATAGGTATACATGTGGTATACATGTTACATAGGTATACATGTTACATAGTTATACCTATGTATACATAGGTATACATGTTACATAGTTATACCTATGTATACATAGGTATACATGTTACATAGTTATACCTATGTATACATAGGTATACATGTTACATAGTTATACCTATGTATACATAGGTATACATAGACCCATGGTGGTTTTCTGCCCCTATCAACCCATCATCTAGGTTTTAAGCCCCACATGCATTAGGTATTTGTCCCTCCCCTTTCCCCTTACCTCCTGACACATCAGTCTTTTTGATATAGCTTGCCAAGTTCACATAACTGGCAATTCACAGAAGCAAACTTTGATGTGCAGCTGTGTTCTGACTACAAAACCTTTGTTCTTAACCACTAGGATCTTAACCATTTGTGTTTTGTTAAGAAAAAAAAATCCAAAGACACTGGTTAAAGCACTGTAACGAAGACTTTTTTCAAGACCATCATGATAGGTGTAGGAACAATGGGATATTGTAGTGGGAGGGAGAGAAATTGTGTTTAACTCTGAATATAGCATGAACAAGAGGGAATTAGTAGCCAAGGGGCAGGGTGGGGGGCCAGTGAATGGAAAATTACTAAGAGGAGGTATTGGGGGAAGTGGAATTCTGGCTAAACCGACCTAACAGGATTCCTGCTGAAGATAGGCCAGGGTGATCAGTCATTACCTGAATGATGGTAGAGGATGAGGAACCTGATCAGATATTGAGGGTGATCAGGTATCAAGGGTAGGGGTGTTTTTGCAAAACTGACTTAGTAGGATTCTTTACTGAAACGGTATTTTATGAAGAAGTACACATATATTGGCCTAGGAGAAGGTTCAGGAACCTGATTAAAGTTTGGCCAAGGTTGGGCGCGGTGGCTCATGCCTGTAATCCCAGCACTTTAGGAAGCCGAGGCAGGCGGATCACCTGAGGTCAGGAGTTCGAGAGCAGCGTGATCAACATGGAGAAACCTTGTCTCTACTAAAAATACAAAATTAGCCGGGTGTGGTGGTGCATGCCTGTAATCCCAGCTACTCAGGAGGCTGAGGCAGGAGAATCGCTTGAACCCAGGAGGCGGAGGCTGTGGTGAGCCGAGATTGCATCATTGCACTCCAGCCTGGGCAACAAGAGCAAAACTCTGTCTCAAAAAAAACAAAAAAAAGTTTGGTCAAGCAAACCATCTTTGTCAATTTTTATGTCAGGGTTGGAGAGAAGAAGCAAATTTATTTTTACTTTTCTTATTATTTTTTGAGTCAGAGTCATACTCCGTCACCCAGGCTGGAGTGCAGTGGTGCCATCTCAGCTCACTGCAACCTCTGCCTCCTGGGTTCAAGTGATTCAGCATCCTGAGTAGCTGGGATTACAGGCACACACCACCATGCCTGGCTAATTTTTTGTATTTTTAGTAGAGAGGAGGGTTCACTATGTTGGCCAGGCTGGTCTTGAACTCCTGACCTCAAGTGATCCGCCTGCCTCGGCCTCCCAAAGTGCTGGGATTACAGACATGAGCCACTGCACCTGGTGTGAATTTAATTTTTACTGAACAGCAGCATGAGACAACTTCCACAGCCATCATCCTCAATTTAGAAGGAGCAGCTAGCTACTTTAAAAAAAATTGTAGCAAAATATACACAATATTAAATTTACCTAGTAAACCATTTTTTAAGTAAACAACTCAGTGGCATGAAGTACTTTCTTTTTAAAAATTATTTTCATTGATACATAATAATTATACATATTAAAGCCGGGCGTGGTGGCTCACGCCTGTAATCCCAGCACTTTGGGAGGCCGAGGCGGGTGGGTTACAAGATCAGGAGATCGAGACCATTCTGGCTAACATGGTGAAACCCCGTCTCTACTAAAATACAAAAAAATTAGCCAGCGTGGTGGCAGGCACCTGTAGTCCCAGCTACTTGGGTGGCTGAGGCAGGAGAATGGTGTGAACCCGGGAGGCGGAGCTTGCAGTGAGCCGAGATCGCGCCACTGCACTCCAGCCTGGGTGACAGAGCGAGATTCCATCTCAAAAAAAAAAAAATTACACATATTAAAGGGTTCATGTGATATTTTGATACAGGCATATAATCTGAAATGATTAATTTGGGCTAATTAGGATATTCATCACCTCAAAAAAAAAATTTTTTTTTTTTGAGACAGAGTCTTACTCCAACACCCAGGGGCTGGAATGCAGTGGCATGATCACGGCTCATTGCAGCCTCAACCTCCCAGGCTCAGGTGATTCTCCTACCTCAGCCTCCTGAGTTCCTGGAACTACAGTTGCTCACCACCACGCTCGGCTGAATTTTTTTTTTTTTTTTTTGAGACTGAGTCTCGGTCTGTTGCCCAGGCTGGAGTGGAGTGGCATGATCTCGGCTCACTGCAACCTCCAGCTCCCGGGTTCAAGTGATTTCCAGCTAATTTTTACATTTTTACTAGAGTCGGGGTTTCACCGTGTTGGCCAGGCTGGTCTTGAACTCCTGACCTCAAGTGATCTGCCCACCTCGGCCTCCCAAAGTGCTAGGATTACAGGCATGAGCCATGAGCCACCGCACCCACCCATGGCTAATTTTTTCTATTTTTTGTAGGGATGGAGTTTTGCCTTGTTGCCCAGGCTGGTCTTGAACTTCTGGGCTCAAGCAATTTGCCTGTCTTGGCCTCCCAAAATGCTGGAATTATAGGTGTAAGCCACTGCATACAGCCTCACCTCAAACATTTATTGTTTCTTTGTGTTAGGAACATTTCAGATCTTCTAACTATTTTGCAAAATACAATAAGTTATTGTTAACTATAATCACTGTATTGTGCTATTGAACACTAGAAATTATTCCTTCCATTTAATTGTCTGTACCCATTAATCAACCTCTCTTTATTCCCCCTGCTACCCTTCCTGGCCTCCAGTATCTACCATTCTAGTTTCCACCTCCATGAGATACACTTTTCCTGCGTATGAGGGAGAACATATATTTGTCGTCTGTGCCTGGCCTTTTTCATTTAACATAATGGCCTCCTGTTCCATCTGTGTTGGTGCAAATGACAGGACTTTATTCTTTTCTGTGGCTGAATAGTATTTCATTGTGTATATATACTACATTTTTTCTCATTTATCAGTTGATGGGCATTTAGGTTCCTTCCATATCTCACCTTTTGTGAGTACTGCTGCAATAAACATGGGTGTGCACATATGTCTTTAATACACAATTTCCTTTCTTTTGGGTATACACCAAGCAGTGGGATTGCTGGATCATATAGTAGATCTATTTCTTTTTTATTATACTTTAAGTTCTAGGGTACATGTGCCCAACGTGCAGGTTTGTTACATATGTATACATGTGCCATGTTGGTATGCTGCACCCATTAACTCATCATTTACATTAGGTATATCTCCAAATGCTATCCCTCCCCCCACCCCACTACAGGCCCTGGTGTGTGATGTTCCCCACTCTGTGTCCAAGTGTTCTCATTGTTCAATTCCCACCTATGAGTGAGAACATGCAGTGTTTGATTTTCTGTCCTTGTGATAGTTTGCTCAGAATGATGGTTTCCAGCTTCATCCAGGTCCCTACAAAGGACATGAACTCATCCTTTTTTATGGCTGCATAGTATTCCATGGTGTATATGTGCCACATTTTCTTAATCCAGTCTATCATTGATGGACATCTGGGTTGGTTCCAAGTCTTTGCTATTGTGAATAGTGCTGCAATAAACATACGTGTGCATGTGTCTTTATAGCAGCATGATTTATAATCCTTTGGATATATACCCAGTAATGGGATGGTAGATCTGTTTTTAGTTTTTTGAGGAACCTCCACACTGTTTTCCATGGTGGCAATACTAATTTCCATTCCCACTAGCTTTCCCCTTTCTTTGCATCCTGACCAGCATCTGCTATTTTTTTGTCCTTTTGATAATAAGCCATTTTAACTGGGGTGAGATGATATCTCATTGTGCTTTTAATTTGTATTTTCCTGATGAGTAGTACTGTTGAGTATTGAGCATTTTTTTCACATCTGTTGGTCATCTGTATGTCTTTTTTCCTTTTTTTTTTTTTTTTTTTAAAGACAGAGTTTTGCTATGTTGCCCATGCTGGAGTTGAACTCCTGGGCTCAAACCATCTTCCCACCTCAGCCTCCTGAATATGTATGTCTTCTGTAGAGAAATATCTATTCAGATCCTTTGAATGGTATTAAGTACTTTCATGAGGTTGTACGACCATCATTACTATTTCCAGAACTTTTAAATCATCCCAAACAGAAACTCTGTATCCATTGAACAATTCAACTTCCCATTACTTCCCCTTCCCCTAGGTCCTGGTAACCACTAGCCTATTTTCTGTCTCTGTGAATTTGCCTGTTTTAGGTACCTCATATAATGTTGAGTATTTTCAAGATTCATCTGTGTAGTAGCATGTAATGAGGTGTAATATGATTGGATCTTGCAGTGAGGTGATCCTGAGAGGCATTATCTGACTGGATCCTGCTCTGGGGTGATACCAGAGCTCCATCCAGGGTCCTGGATCCTGCTACGCGGTATCCACTTTTATTTATTTTTATTTTTTTAGAGACAGGATTTCACTCTGTCACCCAGGCTGGAGTGCAATAACGTGATCATAGCTCTGCATAACCTTGAACTCCTAGGCTCGAGCAATCCTCCTACCTCAGTCTCCCAAGTAGCTAGGACTACAGGTGCATGCCACCACACCCAGCAAATTTAAAAATAAACTGTAGAGGGGGGTGTCTCACTATGTTATCCAGGATGGTTTCAAACTCTTGGGCTCAAGTGATCCTCTTGCCTTGGCCTCCCAAAGTTCAGGCATGAACCACTGTGCCCAGCCAGTGTCTGCTTCTCAATTGAGTCCCTGCTCTTGGGTCTGAGCAATTAGATTCCCCCTATAGTTACACACCTGGTTCATCTGGACACGCTCAGGTTATGTGACCTGAGGGTCCGTGGCAACTGAAAAACAACTCACAACTTTGTTACATAAAACTTGAACCAGATTGGGAAAAAAAAAAAAGGAAAAAAAAAAAAGTTGAACCAGATTGGTCCAGTGCGGCTACATCTCAATAAGTCCATGTTGAATCAAAGAAGGAACTAAACCAGACTTGAAAAATTATAAAGTTAAGGCAAGTTTCCTTCTGTTTTTTTTTCTAATGCCTTTCCCCACCTCTGTGATGCCCTCTTTTCTTTCCCTCCTCTGTTTCTCCAAGAAAACATTCTTAGGACAGGACCTAATGAGTGGAGCAGTAGAAAGAACCCTGGACTGGAATCAGGATACCAGGGTTTCACCCTGGCTTTGTCACTGGATAATCCTAAATTCTTCTCTCAGGGATTATACTCCCCATGAGTAACAGAAGAGGGTTTGCTTGGCTAATCTTTAGGTTTCTTTCCGGTTCTGGCTTTCCAGATTTCAGGCTACACTCAGACTAAGATGACAGGGTTATTTCTTCCAAGGGTATTTTGCACTGAAACACAGGAGAGAGGAAGAAAGGGAGAATGGTGAAATTCTAGGCATCCTCATGTGGCTGGGAGAGGTATTTTCCTGTCATCATGCACCCTAGGAAAGTAGAGATAAGGCAGATCCTTATCCCAGCCCCTGAAACCTGCCAACTGGTAAATTCAGCACTGACTCACACTCAAGGAAGTAGCAGAGGACACTGTGGAGCAATTCCTGGGAGCAGGGCCTCTTGCCTGATTGGTATGAATCCCTGTGGGCAGCTGGTATGAATGGGTCCGGTCCTGGACACTCCCTGGGACTTCATTAGGAATTAGTAGGTCTTTTGTGTAAGTTGGTCATTGGAGAGGCAGGAGAATTGGGGTTTAGTCCTGAGTCTGTCACTTGCCACTTGTGTGGCTTGAACAAGTCTTTTCTCTCTGGGCATCAGTTTCTCCATGTATCACATAAAGGAGTTGGACGCTATGGCCTCCCTCCATAGTTTGGCTACCTGAACCTTCCAGTTCCTCAGACACATCATGGCCTTTTCATGTTCTGGGCATTTGTTCACCTGGAACACTCCCTCAACTCCATCTCCTACCCAACTCACCTGATTCACTCCTTCATGGCATGTCCTTCAGGTCCAGGCTACCTCCATGTGAGAGAGTATTGAGTGGAATACAATGTGGAATGGTGGGGACTGTGGCAAACTGGAGACTATATTCCGCTGAAGCTATTCAAGTACTTAAAAATTATTTTCTATTGTAGTAAATACATATAATATACAATGTAGTATCTTTTTTTTTTCTTGTGAGACAGTATCTATCTCACTCTGTTGCCCAGGCTGGAGTGCAGCATGATCATAGCTCACTTTAACCTTGAACTCCTGGGCTCAAACAATCACCTCAGCCTCCTGAGTAGCTGGGACTACAGGTGTATGCTACTATGCCTCGCTATTTTTTTTTTCTTTTTGTAGAGATGGGGAGATGGGGTCTTGCTATGTTGCTCAGGCTGGTCTTGAACTCCTAGCTTAATGATCCTCCCACCTTGGACTCCCAAAGTGTTGGGATTATGTGTGTGAGCCACTGCACTCAGCCTTCACACTTAATATATTCTTGAACATTTCAGAATTCTTCAAATCTATGTTCTTCTTATTGTGAGGTAGACCTAGAAGTCTCAAATGCTTGACCTCATGATCTGCCCACCTCTGCCTCCCAAAATGCTGGGATTACAGGTGTGAGCCACCATGCCCGGCCATGCTAACATGATACTTAATGGTGTTCTTATAAGATCAGGAACAATACAAGGATGCCCACTCTCGCCACTTCTATTCAACAGAATACTGGAAGTCCTATGGAAGTCCTGGCCAGAGCAATTAGGCAAGAAAAAGAAATAAAAGCTATCCAATTCAGAAAGGTAGGAATTAAATTCTCTGTTTACAGATAACATGATCTTACATATATAAAATCCTAATGACTCCACCAAAAAACTATTAGAACTAATAAATTTAGTAAGTTTCAGGATGTAAAATCAACATATAAAACTTAGTAGCATTTCTATACGCTTACAATGAACTATCTGAAAAATTGAGAAAACTGTCCCATTTACAATTGCTACAAAAAATAAAACAGTAATAAATTTAACCAAGGAGGTGAAATATCTGTACACTAAAAACTATAACATTTAAGTGTTCTCACCACAAAAAAATAAATATATAAGATAATGGATATGTTGACTAACCTGATTTAGCCGTTCCACAATGTGTGTGTATGTGTGTATATATATATATATCAAACAACATGTTATACACCATAAATATATACAATTTCTATTGTCAATTAAGTCAATAAATGAATAAATAATCATAAAGACCAGAAGATATTGGAATAGCATTTTCCTTTTTTTGAGATGTAGTCTTCCTCTGTCTCCCAAGCTGGAGTGCAGTGGTGCTATCTCGGCTCACTGCAACCTCCACCTCTCAGTTTCAAGTGATTCTCCTGTCTCAGCCTCCCAAGTAGCTGGGATTACAGGTGCACACCACTAGTAGAGACAGGGTTTCACCATGTTGGCCAGGCTGTCTCAAACTCCTGTCCTCAATGATCTGCCCGCCTTGGCCTCCCAAAGTGCTGGGATTACAGGCATGAGCCACCGCACCCAGCTAGAATAACATTTTAAATGGATGAAAAAAAGGAACCACTAACTCAGATTTTTTTAAATAAAGATGGGGTCTCACTATGTTGCCCAGGCTGGTCTCAAACTCCTGGTCTCAAGCGATCCTCCTGCCTCAGCTTTCCAAAGTGCTGACATTACAGGCATAAGCCACCAGGCCCAGACAACCCACAATTTTATATCCAGTAAAAATATTATTCAGGAAGAAGGTGAAATAAATATATGCTCAAGCTACGGAAAAGTTACAGAAATTTGCCAACAGACAGATGCTTGGCTCACTGCAACCTCCTGGGTTCAAGTGGGTTCCGCCTCCTGGGTTCAAGTGATTCTCATGTCTCAGACTCTGAGTAGCTGGGATTACAGACGTGTGCCACCACACTCGGATAATTTTTTGTATTTTTAGTAGAAATGGGGTTTCGCCATATTGCTGGGATTACAGGCGTGACACCTGGACAACAGAGCAAGACTTCGTCTCAAAAAAATTGGTATATATGACTTTTGTATATATATAAAATATATATGTATATGTAAAATTATAAATTGTCTAGGGAGTTGCAATGTGTATATATTTAATGCAGATTACACCTATAACATAAAGGAAAGAGAGTAGATGAATCTATATGGAGGTAAGTTTTCTATCCTTTACTAAAATAAAACAGACTGTGAAAAGTATGGTATGTATATTATAATATCTAGAAAATTCAACATTAGCCAGGCGCGGTGGCTCACGCCTGTAATCCCAGCACATTGGGAGGCTGAGGCGGGGGGATCACCTGAGGTCAGGAGTTCGAGACCAGCCTGACCAACATGGAGAAACCCCCGTCTCTACTAAAAATACAAAATTTGCCAGGCGTGGTGGTACATGCCTGTAATCCCAGCTACTTGGGAGGCCGAGGCAGGAGAATCGCTTGAACCTGGGAGGCGGAGGTTGCGGTGAGCTGAGATCATGCCATTGCACTCCAGCCCGGGCAACAAGAGCGAAACTGTGTCTCAAAAAAAAAAAAAAAAAAAAAAAAATTCAACATAAAAAAGATGTCAATTCTCCCAAATTCAACATTACCTATAGATTTAATGCACTTCCTCCAACATTTTATATAGACAAAAATAACCTCATTCAAAAATTTATAGACACAGACCCTAGAATAGCTAAAACCAAACCAAACAAAAAACCAGTCTTAAAAGAGAACAAAGTGGGAAGAAACACTCTACCTGATATGAAGGCCTAACTATATAGCTAAGTAATCAAGGGAGTGTGGTACTGGCAGAGGTATAGTATAGAGATTAATGGAACATAACAGACAACCTGAAAATAGGCCCACATAAATATGCCCAATTGATTTTTGACAATGGTGCAAAAGGAGGAAAGATAGCCTTTTACACCTCTTCAACAGATGGTGCTGGAGGAAATAATAAGCTATTACAACAAGGTTACAGAATACAAGGTTAATATACAAAAGTCAATCACTTTCTTATATACCAGAAAACAAGTAAAATTTAAAATTAAACACATAATACCAATTTATATTAGCACCCCAAAATGAAATACTTAGGTATAAATCTAACAAATTATGTACCAAGAACTGTATGAGGAAAAGGACAAAACTCTGAAGAAAGAAGAACTAAATAAATAGAAAGACCCAATATTGTCAAGTTGTCCAATTCTTCTAAGCTTGATCTATAGATTCAATGCAATCTCAATCAAAACCCCAGCAAGTTATTTTGGGCTATCAAGAAACTGATTTTAAATTTTATATGCAGACAAAAAACCTATAATAGCCAACATAATATTGAAGATGAAGAGGACTGACACTATAAAGCCATAGTAAACAAAACAGTATAGTGTCATGTGCTTGCACTTATATGCATTTTTAAAGCACCAAAAACTGGGTGAACACAGTGGCTCATGCCTGTAATCCCAGCATTTTGGGAGGCCAAGGCAGGCAGATCACTTGAGGCCAGGAGTTCAAGACCAGCCTGGCCACTGTGGTGAAACTCTGTCTCTACTAAAAATACAAAAACTAGCTGGGCATGGCGTGCACCTGTAGTCCCAGCTACTAGGGAGGCTGAGGCATGAGAATTGCTTGAACCCGGGAGGCGGAGGTTGGAGTGAGCCAAGATAGTGCCACTGCACTCCAACCTGGGCAACAGAGTGAGACTCTATCTCCATAAATACATAAATAAAGCACCAAAAACTTTATCAATGTGTGTATGTGTTTTATGGATAGACAAAGACAGAAATAGAAGGTTCATGGGTGCAAACATATGTGGAAATGAAGTATAAAATGACCATAGGGATGATAACTGGTAACTTCAAGATGATAGTTACCTCCAGAGAGGGAGAAAGAAAGGTTCAAAAGCAGAATGTTAATTAAAGCTATACAGTGGAATTAATTGTTAAAAAGGGCAGAGATCTAAACTAAAACGCGCACACAAATAAGTACAATACAAGGAGTGTGATAATGTCAGAACAGATGAAAACAGAGACAAAGAGAGAGAATAATGGACCTGGGAAGTTCCAGGAAAATTTCTTGGAGGGGGCAGCTTGGAACTGAGCCTTGAAGGGTGGGTAGGATTTCTGAAGGCTGAAATTGAATGAGGGAGAGATGAGCAACGGCATAGAGATGTGAAGAGAGGCAATTGGAGAACACCAGGTCATACCAGCTAAGGTGAAGGTGGGAAGAAAAGGGGGTGAAGAGGTCCTCCCATGGGTCAGAGGAGTGTTACACTCTTTTTTGCTGGAAGGCTTCCCAGAAGGTATTATGAGCAACCTGAAGGCCAAGACTCAACTTTTCATGACCCCACTGCACATATAACAGTACTTTACATATACATATACCAAACATCATAAAAGGATTGAATGAAAGCAATGTCATCTAAGGGGAAAGAGGAGTTTAGGATTCCTAGAGTCTTGTAATAGAGTCTGATTGCAATAACCAGATTATTGCCTCTATTGTGCCTCTTTTAAAAAGAACTTAAAAGAGGGAACCTAGGGTGTAGCAGAAAAGTTGTGGAAAGTCCATACCTATAAAGTTAGGGTTAGGATTTTGAGCCCCGCCCTTTCTAGTGTAACACACTGCCATGATCTTAGAAGCACTGCAAGGAAACAAAATTACTTGTAACTGTTTGAAATCTCACAGAACTTGAAATAGGATAGTCAATTACATCATCTATTAAAATTGTGGGCCGGGCCCAAGGCTCCCAGCACCTTGGGAGGCTGAAGCGGGAGGATTGTTTGAACCCAGGAGTTCAAGGCCAGCCTGAGCAACATAGTGAGAACTCATCTCTACAAAAAATTTAAAAAAATGAGCCAGGTGTGGTGACATACACCTGTAGTCCTAGCTACTCGGGAGGCTGAGGTGGGAGGATCACTTGAGCTAGGGAAGTTGAGGCTGCAGTGAGCTGAAACCATGCCACTGCACAGCCTGGTTAGCGGAGTGAGACCCTGTCTCCAATCAACCAACCAACCAACCAACAAACAAAAACTAAAAAGAAAAAGAAGGCTGGGTGTGGTGGTTCATACCTGTAATCCCAGCACTTTGGGAGGCTGAAGCGGGTGGATCACCTGAGGTCGGGAGTTCGAGACCATCCTGACCAACATGGAGAAACCCCATCTCTACTAAAAAAAAAAAAAAATACAAAATTAGCCGGGCATGGTGGCATATGCCTGTAATCCCAGCTACTCGGGAGACTGAGGCAGGAGAATCACTTGAACCTGGCAGGTGGAGGTTGCAGTGAGTCGAGATTGTGCTATTGCACTCCAGCCTGGGCAACAAGAGTGAAACTCCATCTCAAAAAAAAAAAAAAAAGGAACTGCTTTTGTCATATCCTATAAATTTTGGTATGCTGTGTTTCCATTTGCATTTGCCTCAAAGTTTCCCCCTTTTTTTGAGCCATTGGTTGTTCAGAAACATATTATTTAATTTCCATGTGTTTGTGAATTTTCTGAAATTCTGTTATTGATTTCTAGTTTCATACCTCTCTGGCCAGAAAAGATACATATTTGATATGATTTCAATCTTCTTAAATTTGTTAAAACTTTTCTTATGACCTAGCATGTGCTCTATCCTGAAGAATGTTCTTTGTGCACTTCAGAAGAATGCGTATTCTATTGCGGTTGGGTGGAACGTTGTGTACATTTCTATTAGGTACTTTAGGTATACAGTGTTGTTCAAGTCTAGTGTTTCCTTATTGATTTTCTGTCTGGGTAACCTATCCATTATTGAAGGTGAGGTACTGAAGTCTCCTACATATTGTTGCATTGCTCTCTATTTTTCCCTTCAGATCCCTTAATGCTTCTATCTAGGTACTGTGATGTTGGGCACATATATATTTATAATTGCTGTATCTTCCTATTGAGTTGATACTGTTGTCATTGTATAACGACCTACTTTGTCACTTGTGACAGTTTGTTTTTTAGATGGAGTCACGCTCTCTCACCCAGGCTGGAGTGCAGTGGCATGATCTCAGCTCACTGCAACCTCTGTCTCCGGGGTTCAAGTGATTCTCCTGCCTCAGCCTCCTGAGTAGCTGGGATTATAGGTGCCTCCCACCATGCCCGGCCAAATTTTGTATTTTTAGTAGAGATGGGGTTTCACCATCTTGGCCAGGCTGGCACAAACTCCTGACCTCAGGCGATCCTCCTACCTCAGTGTCTCAAAGTGCTGGGATTACAGGCGTGAGCCGCTTGTGACAGTTTTTGACTTAAAAGTCTATTGTGTCTAATATCAGTTCCCACAGTTGCTCTCTTTTGGCTACCATTTGCATGGGTCTTTTTCCATCTCCTCAATTTTAACCTGTATGCTCTTATATCTAAAATGAAACTCTTGTAGATAGCACTTAGTTGAATCGTTTTGTTTTTTTAAGTCCATTCAGCCACTATATGTCTTTTGATTGGTGAGTTTAATTCATTTACATTTAAAAGTAATTATTGATAGGTAAGGACTTACTGCTGTCATTTTCTTGTTTTCCATTTTGTAGATTCTTTGTTTCTTCTCTCTTTCTTTGTGATTTGATGATTTTTTTTGGTAGTGATATGCTTTGATTATTTTCTCTCAATATTTTGTGTATCTATTGTAGGTTTTTTGTGTTTACCCTGAAGCTTGCATAAAATATAGTTATAACAGTTTATTTTAAAGCTGACAAGATTTTTTTTTTTTTGAGCTGGAGTCTTGCTCTGTCGCCCAGGCTGGAGTGCAGTGGGATGATCTCGGCTCACTGCAACGTCTGCCTCCTGGGTTCAAGCAATTCTCCTGCCTCAGCCTCCCGAGTGGCTGGGATTACATGCGACTGCCACCACGCCCAGCTAATTTTTGTATTTTTAGTAGAGACAGGGTTTCACCATGTTGGCCAGGCTGGTCTCGAACTCCTGACCTCAAGTGATCTGCCTGCCTTGGCCTCCCAAAGTCCTGGGATTACAGGCATGAGCCACCGTGCCCGGCCGACAAAGTTATTTTTATTCCCTTTTTAATTTTTATACTAGGGTTAGAAATAATTTATACATCACCATTACTTTATTATGTTATTATGTTTTTGACCATATATTTACCTTTACTAGCAAGTTTTGTACTTTCATATGCTTTCATGTTGCTGTTTAGCATCTTTTCATTTCAACTTGAAAAACTTTATTTAGCACTTCCTATAAGGCAAGTCTAGTGGTGATTAACCCTCTCAGTTTTTGTTTGTCTTTCCTTCATTTTTATAGGACAGTTTTGCTGGGTATGGTATTCTTGGTTGGTAGGTTTTTTTTTTTCCTAGAACCTTTTATTTTTGTTGTTGTTGTTTTGAGACAGGGTCTTACTCTGTTGCCTAGGCTGCAGTGCAGTTATGTGATCATGGCTCGCTGAAACCTTGATGAAGCCTTGACTTCCTGGGCTCAGGTGATTTTCCCACCTCAGCCTCCTCAACATCTGGGACTACTGGCATGCACCACCACACCCAGCTAATTTTTGTATGTAGATATGGGGTCTCACTATGTTTCCCAGGCTGATTTTGAACTCCTAGTTTCAAGCAATCCTCCCATCTTGGCCTCTTAAAGTGCTGGGACTACAGATGTGAGCCACTGCACCCAGCCAGCACTTTGAATATATTATCTCACTCTATTATGGCCTGCAAGGTTTATGCTGAGACATACTGACAGTCTCACGGGGATTTCTTTTTATGTGAAAAGTCACATTTCTCTTGCTGCTTTCAAAATTACCTCTTTGTCTTTGAGTTTTGACAATTCAATTATAATGTATCTTGATGTAGAACTCTTTAGGTTTAACTTATTTGGAGAATTTGGGCTTCATAAATCTGGATGTCAATTTTCCCCAGATTTGGGATTTTTTTCAGTAATCATTTCTTTAAATAAGCTTTTATGCTTATTTCTCTTCTCTTTTTGGAGGTGCCATAATGCACACATTGGTTCCCTTGATGTTATCCCACAAGTCTCACAGGGTTTCTTTACTCATTTTCATTCCTTTTGATAATTTCAAATGACCTGTCTCCAAGTTTGCTGATTCTTTCTTTTGTCTGATTGAGTCTGCTGTTGCTGCTCTCTATTGGATTTTTCAATTCATTCATTGTATTTTTTTTTTTTTTTTTTTTTTTTTTTTTTTGAGACAGAGTCTCACTCTGTTGCCGAGGCTGGGACTGCAGTGGTGTGATCACTCCAGCCTCGACCTGCTGGGCTCAAGTGATCCTCCCACCTCAGCCTCCCAAGTAGCTGGGACTACAGGTGTGTGCCACCACACTCAGCTAATTAAAAAAATTTTGGGGGCCAGGCACAGTGGCTCATGCCTATAATTCTAGCACTTTGGGAGGCCGAGGCGGGCAGATCACCTGAGGTCAGGAGTTTGAGATCAGCCTGACCAACATGGAGAAATCTGGTCTCTACTAAAAATACAAAATTAGCCGAGCCTGGTGGTGCACACCTGTAATCTCAGCTACTCAGGAGGCTGAGGCAGGAGAATTGCTTGAACCCGGGGTGGGGGGCGGAGGCTGCAGTGAGCTGAGTTTGTGGCATTGCACTCCAGCCTGGGCAACAAGAGCACAACTCCGTCTCAAAAAAAAATTTTTGTGTGTGTGTGTGTGTGTAGATGAGGTTTCACTATGTTGCCCAGGCTGATCTCAAACTCCTGAGCTCAAGTGATCTTCCTGCCTTGGGCCCCCACAGTGCTGTGATTACAGGCATGAGCCACTGTGCCTGGCCCATTTTTAAATAAAATTTAATAACAAGGAAAATCTTCATTAAAAAGTGCTGAGTAACAAAAACAGGCTATGAAACTATATGTACACACTTTGATCCCCAAATATGTATACTTGGTGTGTGTGTATGTACAAACAATAACACACGTAAAAGCTGTGAGGAAAATTATTAGTAGTGTTTACCTGGATGCTAGATGACTTAAAAATACTTTTCAATAATATTCATACTCCACACATGGAAACACTCAGAATAGTTTGAAATAAGTCAACATAGAAAAAGCAGAGATGAGGCCGGGCACAGTGGCTCACGCCTGTAATCCCAGCACTTTAGGAGGCTGAGGTGGGCAGATCACCTGAGGTTGGGAGCTCGAGACCAGCCTGGCTAACATAGTTAAACCCCATCTCTACTAAAAATACAAAATTAACTGGATGTGGTGGTGCTCATCTGTAATCCCAACTACTTGGAAGGCTAGGGCAGGAGAACTGCTTGAACTCAGGAGGCGGAGGTTGCAGTGAGCCGAGATCCCGCCATTGCATTCCAGCCTGGGTGACAGAGTGAGACTATGTCTCAAAAAAAAAAAAAAAAAAAGAAAAAGGAAAAGCAGAGATGAGATACAAAGTTAGAACAGGGAATTTTGACATTTTGGGTTTCTGGGTCCAGTCACATGTAAATTCACCCCCATCACCCTTTTGCACAATTTTGTTGAATATACAAATATGTTACCCACACTTGGCTTTTTGTTTTATCCTTATGTAGGTTTAAACTGAGTTTCTGTCACTTGAATTAAATTTGTGTAATCTTGAGCCATCAAATTTGTGGTAATTTGTTACGGCAGCATAGAAAACTAATACACCTCCCCGCCCTCCAGTTTCCCCTCACTTCCTTCTTGGAGCAGCTGGATGTTCAAGATGATGCTTTTGCATCTGTGAATCATGATGTGGACTGTGATTGAGACCTGGTCTACTCTTTAGGACTATACACAACACTAGAACAATTTAAAAATGGAAAAAATGAACCAGATCTTTTGGTTACATCATTTTGGATTGCATGATGCACATAATTCAGGTAAATTTTTTCATCAAGTAGAATGAGTTTTTTTTAAATGAAGCAGCTAAATTAATACTGAATTGACAAAAGTTCACTATTTTTATACAGTTCAATTTTTTTACTTTCAATATGATTGTTTCTAAATGTAATTTATTTGTTTTTCATCAGATGAGTCACATTTACACTCACTTAAAAATTTTATCCTTACTGGAATTGCTTATTTTTACCCTGAATGTAGTGATTGCTTCTGTTTCACGCCAGGTGTTCTGTGGATGGAATCTGAGGCCAGCTAGCTCAAAAACCAGCCTCAAAAATCCTGTGGTCCCAACTGTTGGTGGGGAGTGGCTGGGGCTAAGGTGGGAGGATCACTTGAGCCCAGGAAGTGGAGGTTGTAGTAAGCCAAGATTGCGCCACTGTGCTCAGCCTGGGTGACAGAGCAAGACCCAGTCTCAAAAGAAAAAAAGAAGTAGGGGTGCAAAATGAAAAAGAAAAACATAGTCCTGGCCAGACGTAGTGGCTCACGCCTATAATCCCAGCACTTTGGGAGGCCACGGCAGGTGGATCACCTGAGGTCAGGAGTTTGAGACCAGCCTGGTCAACATGGTGAAACCCCGTCCCTACTAAAAATACAAAAATTAGCCAGGCATGGTGACGGGCACCTGTAATCTCAGCCACTTGGGAGGCTGAGGCAAGAGAATTGCTGGAACCTGGGAGGCGGAGGTTGTAGTGAGCTGAGATTGTGCCATTGCACTCCAGCCCGGGCCAACAACAGCAAAACTCCATCTCAAACAAACAAACAAACAAACAAACTATAATCCCTGCCTTTCAGGAGCTTAAAAACCCAAGCATGTACTTAATGGTCATGGGTTTTTTTTTGAGATGGAGTCTCGCTCTGTCACCCAGGCTGGAGTGCAATGGTGTGGTCTCGGCTCACTGCAACCTCTGCCTCCCTGGTTCAAGTGATTCTCCTGCCTCAGCCTCCCGAGTAGCTGGGATTACAGGCGCCCACCACCATGCCTGGCTAATTTTTGTATTTTTAGTAGAGACAGGGTTTCACTATGTTGGCCAGCTGGTCTCGAACTGCAGACCTTGTGATCCGCCAGCCTCGGCCTCCCGAAGTGCTGGGATTACAGGTGTGAGCCACTGTGCCCGGCCATGGGGGGTTTTCCTTCCAGGATGAGAAAAATGTTTTAGATGGAGATGGCAGTTTCACAGCACTGTGAGTGTGCTAAGTGCCACTGTTCACTTTACAATGGTTAGTTTTATGTTATGTGCATTTCACCTCTTTTTCTTTTTTGAGACAGAGTTTTGTTGTGTCACCCAGGCTGGAGTGCAGTATCATGATCTTGGTTCATTGCAACGTCTGCCTTCCAGGTTCAAGTGATCCTTCTGCCTCAGCCTCCTGAGTAGCTGGGACTCATCTCATTTTTATAAACAAATAAATAACACATGCACACAGCACTGGACCAGGAGATGACCAAAATTAAATTCCCCACCCAGATAACTTCTTCCCAACCTGTTGACTGGTCCTAAGTTTCATGGGCTTCATTCATTGTTCAATGTGTCATTTAAAAAGGATTAAAAAGTGAATTTATTTCACCATCAAAAGAATACTCTCCCATCTAATGGCTAAGCCTGATAATTCTGCACTGAGAAACTCATTCATTCATTCATTCATTCATTTATTCAGAATATCCACTCTGCCAGGCACTGGGGTTGCAGACTTGAGTACAACACCATCTCTGCTTCAGAGGCCCTCTCGGTCAATCAGGGAAAGTTTACATATGACATGCGCACACGGTTCCCTGTGCAGGAATGCTTCCCTCTTAGCTTTTGCTAGGCAAACTCTTGCAATCCTTTAATCTCAGCTTGAGAGCTTGAGTGTCTTCTGAGATACTTCCTAACCTGCACTACACCCCTAACCTAGATAGCTCAAAGATCCCTGCTCTCATCCTTCCTAAACTTTTCCTAATTTTCAATTTACAGGTATTTGTATAACTATACTTTTAATATCTATGCTCCCCACTAAACTATAAGCTTCATGAGGACAGTGCCAGGCTCTCTTAGCCATCACTGTGCCTAACACTGGGCTAGCACATAATAGATGCTCAATAAATATTAGCTGTGTGAATAAATGAATTAAAATAATGAACATAAACCACTATAATGTGAAAAATGCTGTGATAGTGAGGCAAGGTGAGGCAGAACATGGCTAACTTGTCTAACACGTCTTGCTGAGGGAGGTAGAGAGAGAGAGGCAAAAGAGACAACCATTAAGAGAGAATATTTGCATTGAGTCTTAAGGGGTAAGTAGGAGTTTCTGAGTCAACACAGTTGGGAAAAGGTATGAAGATGTCAGAACATGTGGTATATGTATTCAGAGAACTGGAAGTGCTTGTGGTCTGCATGGCTGGGCAGAACAGCAGGAGATAAGGCCAGAGATGTGGGTAGAAACTGAACCACCAGGGAGGTTGGCCAGTTTGCTAAGCATACTGGAATTCATCCCATCGAACACTGAGGAGTGAGCCAGAAAAGGAAAGGTTTCTAACCTAAGACTCATGGATGGACCCCCTCAGAGGGGGTTTCAGACATTCATTTATCCCTAAAACTCTATGCACAATTGCCATATTTGTGTTTTCTTGCAAAGAGGGCCCATGGTTTCTATTAGATTCTCAGAAAGATCAGTGACCCCAAAATAGGTTAAGAACAACCACCAGCCAGGCACAGTGGCTCACGCCTGTAATCCCAGAACTTTGGGAGGCAGAGGTGGGCAGATCGTTTGAGCTCAGGAATTCAAGACCAGCCTGGGCAACATAGTGAAACCCACCTCTACAAAAAATACAAAAATGAGCCATGTGTGGTGGCACACACCTGTAGTCCTAGCTACTCAGGAGGCTGAGGTGGGAGGACCATTTGAGCCCAGGAGGTAGAGGCTGCAGTGAGCCGTGATCATGCCACCACCACCCTCCTTGGGCATCTTAATCAGAAAATCCCACCCCCACCCCAATCTGTGACTTTCATAGTACTCATAACAAAATATAAATGTATTGTTTATTTATTTGCTTACTTGTTTATTGTCTGTCCTCTCCACTATAAGACAAGCTCTGTGAGGTCTAGGACTTTTTCTTATTCACTGCTCTATTTCCAGTGCCTAGCACACATGGCGTGGAACTTATAGCAGCTCAATAAATCCTTGCTGACAATAAATCTTATTGTAGGTATTTTTTTCATTGTGGTAAAATACACATAACATAAAATTTACCTTCATAACCATCAAGTATCCACTTCAGTGGCATTAAATACATTCATACTGTTGTGCTACCATCTCCACCACCCATCCACAGAACTCCCTTCATCTCACAAAATGGAAACTCTGTACTGTTTAAACAATACATATTAAAACAATAACTCCCCAATCTCCCACCCCCGCCCTACCCCAGTTGCCCCTGGTAACCACCATTCTACTTTCTGTCTCTATGAATCTGACTAACTCTAGGTACCTATTATAAATGGAATCACATAGTATTTGTTCTTTCATCACTGGCTTATTTCACTTTGCATAATGTCCTCAAGGTTCGTCTATGTTTTTTTTTTTTTTTTTTTTTTTGAGATGGAGTCTCACTCTGTCGCCCAGGCTGGAGTGCAGTGGCGCGGTCTTGGCTCACTGTAAGCTCTGCCTCCTGGGTTCACGCCATTCTCCTGCCTCAGCCTCTTGAGTAGCTGGGACTACAGGCACCTGCCACCACGCCCAGCTAATATTTTGTATTTTTAGTACAGACGGGGTTTCAACGTGTTAGCCAGGATGGTCTCGATCTCCTGACTTCGTGATCCGCCCACCTCTGCCTCCCAAAGTGCTGGGATTACAGGCATAAGCCACCGCGTCCGGCATCCATGTTAAAGCATGTGTCCAAATTTCCTTCCTTTTTAAGGCTGAATAATATTCCACTGTATGTATATACCACATTTTGCTTATCTATTCACCTGTTGATGGACAATTGGGTTGCTTTCACCTTTTGGCTATTGTGGATAATGCTGCTATGAACATGGGTGCATAGGGATTTTTAGTCCTTTTTGAAAGCAAGGTAATCACAGAATTGGTGGGCGGATGGACAGATACATGGTTACATGGATGGATGATAAATGAATGGATGGGTAGGTAGACGGATGGATGGATCGATGGGTAGATGAATAATAGATGGATAGATAAATGAAAGCACTCCGAACTGAGAATTAGGAGAGCTGTTTCCTGTCCTGGATGTGATACTTTTCACATGTATGACACACCAGGCATCAGAGATACTGTGAGGTAACAGTGATCCCATTGTAACAATGGCAGTAGTAGTGAGTTAAGAGGAGTTTCAAAATATTTATAAAGATGAGTAACTCTGTGATAATTCATGATCACAGTTGGCATGTGTCAGTAAAAGGATTGTGTACTAGAACTTAAGGTATTGCTGACTAAGGAGAATGGGGTTTCCCTGTGTGATAACCCTGGGAAAGAAGAGAGTGACTCATGTTGGGTAAAACCACATTGAGTACCAAATATAGAACAACTGGAACATTAGTCAAAAGAACATAAACAGTATCAATGAAAATTCAGGAGCTTGCACCACAGAGGATACTGGCAGTGAATGAGTACAAATGCCAAAGAAGCTTGTATAAATGAAGAGTGCAGAGAGAGGAGATCTTGAGGATATTGAGCTCTGTGCTGAACTGGCCCACAGGATTTGCTCAAACATAGTCTCACCATCCATGGCAACTATAAGAACCAATCTCAACAGAAAAAGGAAAGAAAACATAAAGCTTATATAGAAAGAAATACAAATGGCACACAAACATATTGAAATATACCAAATCTCTCTCTAATAAGATAAATGCAATCAAAACTACAGTGAGATACTATTTTTTACTTACTAGACTGGAAAATATCATAAACAAATTGATGACACATTACGTTGTGAGAGGAAACATGTACTCTCACACATTCACTGTGGGGAGCATCAATTGGTACCACCTGTAACAGTAATTTGAGAACATCTATCAAAATTATATCAAGAGAATGAGAAGATAAGGCACAAAGTGGGAGAAAATATTTGCAAAATATGTACCTGACAAATGACTATTATCCAAAATATGCAAAAAAACCTCTTAAAACTTAACAATAAGAAAATTAACAACCTAATTTAAAAATGAGCAAAAATCTGAATGTCTAGACACCTCACCAAAGAAGATATATAGATGGCAAATAAACATATGGGGAGATGCTCGATGTTATGTAATTAGAGAATTACAAATTAAAACAAAAATGAGATGCCACTATACACCTATTAGAATGGCCCAAATCTAAAACTTGACAACACCAAATGTTGACAAGGATGTAGAACAACAGGAACTCTCATTCACTGTGAGAATGCAAGATGGTACAGCTACTTTGAATAAAAGTGTGGCATTTCCTTCCAAAGCTAAACACAGTCTTTCTATGCATACAATCCAGCAATCGTGCTCCTTAGTAAATGAGTTAAAAACTTATGTCCACACAAAAACCTGTACATAAATATTTATAGCAGCATTATTCATAATTGCCAAAACTTGAAGCAACCAAAATGCAAAATGTCCTTCAGCAGGTGAGTGGATAAATATACTATGGTATATCCATACAACAGAATATCATTCAGTGCTAAAAAGAAATGGCCTATCAAGCCACGAAAAAACATGGAAGAACCTTAAATGCATATTACTAGATGAAAAAAGCCAACTGGAAAAGGCTACCTACTACATCATTCCAATTATATGACATTCTGGAAAATACAAAACTACAGAGGCAGTAACAAGATCAGTGGTTGCTAGGGGCTAAGTGGGGAGGATGGGGTGAATAGACAGAACACAGAGGATGTTTAGGGAAGAAAAGCTACATTGTGCATGATTCTATAATGATGAATGCATGTCACTGTACGTTTGTCAAAACTCATAAAATGTACAACAGCAAGAGTGAACCCTAATCTAAACTATGGACTTTGGGTGATAACGAAGTGTAAATGTAGATTTATCAATTGTCAAAGGTACCACGCTAATGTTGGATGATAGTGGGAGAGGCAGGGCATGGGGTTGGCAGGGGTATATGGGAACTCTTTTTACTTTCCACTCAATCTTGCTCTGAACCTAAAACTGCTCTAAAAGAATAAAGTTCATTTTTAAAAAATTATACATTCACATATCCTTTGACCTAACTATTTTACTTCTAAGAATGTATGCTACAGGCTGGACATGGTGGCTCATGCCTGTAATCCCAGCAGTTTGGGAAGCCAAGGTGGGTGGATCTCCTGAGGTCAGGAGTTTGAGATCAGCCTGGCCAACATGTTGAAACCCCATCTCTACTAAAAATACAAAAATTAGCCCGCTGTGGTGATGTGTGCCTGTAGTCCCAGCTATGTCAGAGGCTGAGGCAGGAGAATCACTTGAACCTGGGAGGTGGAGGTTGCCCTGAGCCAAGATTGCGCCACTGCATTCTAGCCTGGGTGACAAGAGCAAAACTCCATCTCAAAAAAAAAAAAAAAAAAAGGAATTTATGCTATAGATTGGCTCATGTAAGGGCAAAATGACCTACACTCGAAGTTATTTATTATGGCACTATTTGTAATTGAAAAAGATTAGAAACAATATAAGTATCCATCCACGAAGCACTAGTATATATTACAATATATCCACTTAATTGAATAATACTATCCAGCTATTTTTAAAAAGGAAAACGCTTGTGTATTGATATGGATTGATCTCAAAGATAGTTTGTTGGATTCAAAAAGTAAAGTGTGGCCAGGCGCAGTGGCTCACGCCTGCAATCCCAGCACTTTGGGAGGCTGAGGTGGGCCAATCACCTGAGGACAGGAGTTCGAGACCAGCCTAGCTAATATGGTGAAACCCCATCTCTACTAAAAATACAAAAATTAGCCAGGTGTGGCAGTATGCGCCTGTAGTCCCAGCTACTTGGGAGGCTGAGGCAGGAGAATCGCTTGAACCCAGGAGGCAGAGGTTGCAGTGAGCTGAGATTGCGCCACTGCACTCTGGCCTGGGTGACAGAGCATGACTCCATCTCAAAAAAAAAAAAAAAGTTAAGTGTGCAAAGCAACATATAGTATGCTAACATTAGTGTAGAACATGAGGAGGTAGAGGAAGAATATAGGTACATATTTGCTTATATGTACATTTAAAAATCTCCTGAATACACAAGAAATTGACAAAATTGATTGCTTTCAGGGAAAAAATTTGGATGACTGAGAGGCTTTCTCTCTCTATATGCCTATGTACCTTATGAACCATGTGAATGTATTATTTACTGCATCAATAGATGTTAGGAGGAACGGAGGGGAAAAATGATAAAAAGGAAAAGAAGAAGAACAAACACGACTCTAGGATCACTGGCTATCCAAGCAGTAAGGGACCCTAGCAATCTTCTAGCTTGACTCCATAATACATTCACTGACTCCACAAATACATCTTGAGTGACTCATATATGCCTGACACTTCCAGGTGCTATAGATAGCAAGTTGCAAAGGTATAGGGGTAAACAATCTAATGGAGAAAGACCTTACAGTTTATCAGTAAGAAACTGAAGCCCAGAGAAAGAACAGGCCTTGGCCAAGATAACCAGAGACTTGGTGGGAGAGCTAGGGCTGAAACCCAGGTCTGCAGTCTGTTTGGTTTTATTACCTATTCTGGGCTTAAAGTACAGCAAAGGAAATGGACTTCATAATGCAGTCAATGTTTATGAGCATAATGATAACTGAACCACAAAACTGGCTTTCCTCTCCTACATCTACTTTCTAATCATCATAGTCACAGCCAATGGAAAGACCTTTCAGTACTAATTAACACTATTTCATCCTCTACCTACAGAAACTATTATGTAGGAGTCATTATAAATAAATACGCATGCACACACATCTTTCTGAATGATGGTTCATCTGTCCCTGCTGAGACACGAAAAATGGTAAGACAAAGCATTAAGGCAGATACTCAGAGAATGATCTTCTGTTTGGGAATAGGGAAAAGAACCGAATCCACTGTCAACTGTCCCTGATCCCTGGGATTTTCTAAGGGTCTCAGTCAAACTCCTCAACAGGGTTTTTCCAAGTTTGGGAAATCTTACCAGGAAGTAAGAAAAGAGGAGTGTCATTCTCATTACCTTGAATGACAAAGAGCAACAATTAACCGCCTGGGGTGTAGCCTAATGTATCCAATTAACTTTGATTTCAGTATTATATAACACACATGAAAATGGAACCATATACACACAAACACATATATAAACACTCCTATAAATATATGCCCACTTAGACATGTACACAATTATCAACTCCAAAACACAGAATAAAAGTCTGAGATGAAAAGCCATCAGTTCTAAAGCCATGATTATCCAAATATGAAATCATAAAATCTCTGTCTTTGGAGTGATTCTATATTGGAAAAGGGGCTGCCGATTGAACTCCAGCTTCAGTTTGGCTCTGATGGGTAGGGGTAAAGAGGAATAGATCCTTACTGAGATATCAATTGCTGATGGGAGAGAGAAGATGATTCAGGGTTGTGCTTGAAAAGAGCCAAGAAGTCAAATTGAGATTTTTTTATATGGGCTTAGGCTGTGAGTCCCAGCACAGGGCCTTTTTTTCCCCCTTTTTTCTTAGAGATAGGGTATGGCTCTGTCACCCAGGCTGGAGTGCAGTGGCAGAATCATAGCTCACTGCAGGCTCAAACTCCCAGGTTCAAGTGATCCTCCCACCTCAGCCCCCCAAGTAGCTGGGACTGCAGGTGTGTGCCACCATGCCCACCTAATTTTTTTATGTTTTACTTTTTGTAGAGACAGTCTTGCTATGTTGCCCAGTCTGGTTTTGAACTCATGGCCTCAAGCAATCCTCCTGCCTTGGCCTCCCAAAGTGCTGGAATACAGGCATGAGCCACTGCGCTCAGCCAGGCCTCATTTTTAATGGAAGACCACTTGCAAGGCCCATTTTCTGTGCTTTCCAAACAGAAGTCATCCTGGGTCTCAATTTAATCTCTTGTTTTGACTCATCCTGAGTCACTCACTGCTTGCTTCCCACTCCTAGTCCTTGAGAAAGCACCTGGTCTGCAATGGCTTCCTTCAGTGCAAAGTATACTCCAAAGTCATTGTGCCATGTGGAAAGAGTATGGGTTCTATGGGGCAAAGGCCTCTTTATACTGCAACTGTTATTAACATTGTGATTACCCTCATACATGCCTGATATGGGAGAACTGCTTGTACTTCTTGAGCACAGGTAGCTGCTGGTGAGGGTCCTTGAGGGCCAGTTCCTTTAATACCTGAGTCAGGCATACATCAGGTTTTGGATTTCTACAACCTCCAAGAATAACAGACTCTTCACACTGAAAAGGGTTAAGAGCATTCAACCAATCCCCTCATTCTGCAGTGAGGAAACTGAGACCCAAGGAGTAAGAGTGACTTGTCCACATTTATGCCCTGGTCTCTGAGTTCCTAATCCAATGCTCTGCCATCTCTAAAAACATTGTTCATCACGCCTGTAATCCTAGCACTTTGGGAGGCCGAGCTGGGCAGATCACTTGAGCCCAGGAGTTCGAGACCAGCCTGGGCAACATAGTGAGACCTCATCTCTATTTTATCAAAAATAAAACAAAACATTGTTTAAAAAAAAAAACTCCTACAATTTCTTCTAAATCTTAACCTACATCTACCCTGTGACTCAGCCTTTCCACTCCTAAGTATTTACTCAGGAAAAATGAAAACATATATCCACAAAAGACTTGTACACCAATGTTCATAGCAGTTTTATTTCAAGTAGCCAGAAACTAGATACAACCCAAATGTTCATTAGCAGGTAAGTGGACAAACAAAATGTAGTGTATCAACTCAATGGAATACTACTCATCAATTAAAAAACAGAACAAGCTACTGATGCATACAATGTGGATGAATCTCGTAGATACTGAATTGAGAAAATAAGTCAAACATAAAAGAGTACACACTGTATTATTCCATTTATATGCAGCTCTATAACAGGCAAAACAACTTAGTCTATGGTGATAGAAAACAGAGTAGTTGTGGGAGGCAGGAGAGGGATGATTGGCTGCAAAGGGGTATGAGAGAACTTTCTAGTGTTCTGTCAATGTTCTACATCTTGATTGAGATGGTGGTTATGTGGGTATATTTGTCAAAACTCACCAGACTGGGTGTGGTGGTTCATGCCTGTAATCCCAGTACTGTGGGACGTTGAGGCAGGTGGATCACCTGACCTCAGGAGTTCAAGACCAGCCTGGGCAACACGGAGAAACCCCAGCTCTACAAAAAAATAAAAAAAAGTAGCCAGGCATGGTGGTGTGTGCCTTTGGTCCCAGCTATTTGGGAAGCCGAGGTGGGAGAATCGATTGAGCCCGGGAGACCAAGGCTGCAGTGAGCCAAGATCACACCACTGCACTCCAACCTGGGTGACAGAGGGAGACCCTGTCTCAAACAACAACAACAAAACCCACAAAACTATATATTGAGGAAAACATTCCTGTATATTGATAACTGCCTCATTTTTTTTTCCAGTGGCCACTAGTATTCCATGGTATATATGTGCAATAGTTGATTGTGACATTTACCTACATATGGGCATTCAGGTTGTCTCCAGGTATTTTGTTTTGTTTTGTTTTGTTTTGAGACAGAGTCTCCCTCTGTTGCCCAGGCTGGAGTGCAGTGGCATGAGTAAGGCTCACTGCAGCCTGGACCTCCTGGGCTCAAATGATCTTCCCACCTCTGCCTCCCCAGTAGCTGAGACTACAGGCACATGCCACCAGGCCCAGCTAATTTTTAAATTTTTGGTAGAGATGAGTCTATGTTGCCCACGTCTATGTTGCCCAGGCTGGTCTCAAACTCCTCGGCTCAAGCAATCCTCTAACTTGGCCTCCCCAGGTGTTCTTTGAGAAGAATGACAACTCTGTTGGTGAAAATACATGTGAACTAAATTGCAGTGAACTGAACTGAACCAAACTGAAACGTGGACAGTATCAGGTTGGCAAATATTTAAAATAATTCTTTAAAAATCACACAAAAAGATGCTAGCATCACTAATCATTAGGGAAATGTGAATCATAACCACAATTAGATACCTTTTTACACCCACTAGGATGGCTATTTAAAAAAAAAACCCACAGAAAACAACAAGTGTTAGTGAGCATGTGGAAAAGTTAGAACTCTTGTATGCTGCTGGTGAGATTGTAAAATGGTGCAACCACTCTGGAAAACAGTATGGCAGTTCCTTGAAAAATTAAAAATAGAACTACTATAGTATCCAGCAATTCTACTTCTGGGTATATATACTCAAAAGAATTGAAAGCAGGAACTCAAGCAGATGTTTGTATACCCATGTTCAAGATAGCATTATTCACAATAGCCAAGAGGTGGAAATAATCCAAATGTCCATTGACAGGTGAACGGCTAAACAAATGTGGTATATACATACAATAGAATATTAGCCTTAAAAAGGAAGGAAATTCAGATACTACAACATGGATGAACCTTAAGGATATTAGGCCCAGTGAAATAAGCCAGACACAAAAAGACAATTTTTTTTTTTTTTTTGAGATGGAATCTCACTCTGTTGCCAGGCTGGAGTGCAGTGGCAAGGTCTTGGCTCACTGCAACCTCCACTTCCCGGGTTCAAGTGATTCTCCTGCCTCAGCCTCCCGAGTAGCTGGGATTACAGGCACCCACCACCACACCCAGCTAATTTTTTGTATTTTTAGTGGAGATGGGGTTTCAACATGTTGGCCAGGCTGGTCTCAAACTCCTGACCTCGTGATCTGCCTACCTCAGCCTCCCAAAGCGCTGGGATTACAGGCATGAGCCACTGCACCCAGCCTAAAAAAAAAAAAGACAAATTGGTATGATTCCACTTATATAAGATACCTAGAACAGGCAAATTCATAGAGACAGAAAGTCAAATAGTGGTTACCAGGGACTGAAGGGAGGGGAGAACAGAGAGTTATTGCTTAATGGGTACAGAGTCTCAATTTAGAATGATGGAAAAGTTCTGTAGATAGATACTGATGATGATTGCACAACAATGTGAATGTACTTAATACCACTGAATTTTAAAATGGTTAGAATAGTAAATTTTATCTTATATATATTCTACCACAATAAAAAAATTCCATCAAAATGAGTGTCATCTGGGACAGTCACCCCACAGGGCAGTTTGATGACATATATCAGTCTTAAAAATAATCAAGCCCTTTGATTAACATTCTGTATTAGGAATTTCTCATAAGAAAATAGATGAGTGTTAGAGGGACATTCATCTCAGCAATATCTACAATAATACCTCTAGCTGCCCTAAACGTCCCAAAATACAGAATTTATTAAGTAAATATAAATATATCAATATGCTAGAATAATTTGTGGTCATTTAAAAATATGTTGTAGATCTACAAAATTCAATGCACAGTGCAATCCAATTTTGCAAATATGTGATACTTATTATTAATGTATGTAATATATAGCTATATTATATTTTATATATTTGTTTCTTTGTTTTTTGAGACAGAGTCTTGCTCTGTTTCCCAGGCTGGAGTGCAATAGCGCAATCTCGGCTCACAGCAACCTCTGCCTTCCGGGTTCAAGCTATTCTCATGTCTCAGCCCCCGAGTAGGTGGGATTACAGGCACCCACCACCGTGCCTGGCTAATTTTTGTATTTTTAATAGAGAGATGGGGTTTCGCCATGTTGGTCAGGTTGGTCTCGAACTCCTGATCTCAGGTGATCCACTTGCCTCGGCCTCCCAAAGTGCTGGGATTACAGGCATGAGCCACTGTGCCCGGCCTTTTATTTTATATATTTTAAAGTCTGAAAGAACATATATTCCAAATGTTAACAGTGACAATTTCTAAAATATGGTTTTAAGAATAAGACTTTCAGCCAGGCATGGTGGCTCACACCTGTAATCCTAGCACTTTGGGAGGCCCAAGGCAGGAGAATTGTTTGAGGCCAGTTGTTCAAGACCAGCCTGGAACATAGCAAGACCCCATAAAATTTTTTAAAATAATAAAACTTTTTTATTTTTGGCTTATCTATATTGCCTCCTCGGGTTTTTTCCCAAATAAAATAATATATTTCAGGCATAATTAGAAAAAAACAAGTGAATTTGGGCAGAACTCATATCTAACCATTCTTTATAATGCTGGATGTCAAAGAGGCTATCTGTGAAACAAGAGGTGACTCTACTGGCAAGTTTTGCTTTGGTTTGTTTTTTTCTTTTTTTTCTTTCTTTTTTTTTCATTCAACAAGAGGGTAACTTGACATTTGGCTTACCAGTTCAAGGCTGCGATTTTTATAATGCATTATACAGAGATGTGCACCTCCATAGTACAGGTGTAGATGGGAGATGACAGTAGCAGGTGATTTTGTATTCTGAGTTTAACGCGTTTAGCAGTATCATCTTCTTTTTTTTAGAGAGAGAGATGGGGTCTCACTCTGTCACACCCAGGTTGGAGTGCAGTGGCAGGATAGTAGCTCACTGCAGCCTCGAGCTCACCTGTAATCCCAGCTACTTGAGGGTTGCTCAAGTAATCCTCCCATCTCAGCCTCCTGAGTAGCTGGGATTACAGGTGTGTACACCGCTTCCAGCATTATCTTTGAAGAACCAAGAAAGGCTTTACAGAGGAAGCAACAGTAAAATGCCCATTTAATATATAAAGACTTTCTGACATGACAGAAAGAATGCATGGGCAAAGGCAGGGGAACCTGAATGGTCCAGTTTGGATGGATATTTACTATATATTCATACAACTCAATAAACAGTTATTGGACATCTAAGTGCCACACATGCTCCTCTAGGCACTATAGGTACAGCAGTGAAGAAAACAGTCCCTATTCTGATTCTAATTGTGAAAGATAGGTTTTAAAAAGCAAGCAAATAAGAACATGATATGTCCAGCAATACTAAGTGTTAGGAAGGAAAATAAAGCAGAATAAGGAGATAAAGAGGGCCAGGAAGAAGAAAGGTGACCAAGGAGGGTCTTTCCTGATGGTGTCAAAGGAAAGAAGAATTAATTGAGCCACATGGATTTCTGGCAGAAAGGCTTCCTTGATAAAAGGGCAAGTACAAAGGCCCCTGAGGGGGAAGCATGAAGGGAATGAGAATGAAGGTTGGAGAGACAGACCTAGGACTGTGTGATTAAAGTCCGTGGATGCCAATTAATCTAGCCATAGCAATTCTTCCAGGAATATAAAGGCCAGAACACTGGACTAGGAATCAAGATTTCTGGAATTAAGTCCTGAGTCTGCTAGTAACTTGCTTTGTGTCCTTGGATGAGTCACTTCAAGTCTCTGGGACTCAGTTTCCCCATGCATCAAGTGCCAGCAATCATCTTTACTTATCTATCTTCAGGTGAGGCTCAAAGGAAGGTGGAAGATGTGGAAGAGTTTAGAATGTGTGCCGTTCTCTTCAAGGGGGAAGGAGTATGACTGTTATGCCCATAGAAGGGCTGGGAGAACAAGGGGCCCTCACCGTGTGGAAGGAAGCACTCTAAAACGAAGGTATTAAACAAGGGAGTTGGCTATCCTAAAACTGGGAAAAAAAGAGGTATCTTGGGTACCCTGAAAATCACTTTGGAGCCCCCTCCCAAGGACAGGCAGTATGAGAGGGACTGTCTTTAGAAACCTCCTTCCAAAAAAATGCCTACATGACCTGAAGGTGGCTTGAAGCGCTCTCAATTTGCCACTTTGTGTGTGTGTGTGTGTGTGTGTGTGTGTGTGGGTGGGTGTGTGGGTGTTAAGGGACAGTCAGAGCCAGGACAAGTCCAAAGTTGTGAGGGAAGGAAACAAAGTATACAGGACAGTGGAGCAGGTCCAGGTAAGAGGGTGAAGTTCCGGACTTTGCACCAAACCTTCTCTCCTTTAGACCAAAGCAGTGGTTCTCTGAGAGACCATTGTTAGAAGAAGAATAAAAGAGCTATCATTAATCAATTCCTTGCTAGCATTTATACAGCATTGCAGGAAGTGCTTTGCACACATTATCTCCTTTAATCCTCACAATACCCCTATGACATAGGTGCTGTCATCCTCAGTTTGTTGATAAGGAAACTGAGATTTAGAGAGATTAAGTAACTCGCCCAATATCGCACAGCTAATGAAGGACATAACTAGATTTTGAACCCATTGCTCATAAATGCACATTAAAAATATGTGTTGGCCAGGTGTGGTGGCTCATGCCTATAATCCCAGCACTTTGGGAGGCTGAGGTGGGTGGATCACTTGAGGTTAGGAGGTTGAGGCAGCAGTGAGTGGTGTTCACACTCTAGCCTGGGCTACAAAGTGAGACATGTGTGTGTGTGTGTGTGTGTGTATGTATATGTGTATATTTTTTACATATATACATATATATTTACATATGTGTATATATTTACATATATTTTTTGAGACAGGGTGTCACTCTGTACATATACATATACACATACATATACACACATATGTGTATATATATGCCCAGAGAGGGTGTCCTTGGGGAAAGAAAGAATAAAGAAACATCTGAGAAAGAACTCAAAACTCTGGCTTCCAGTCCTTGTTTCACCTGACTCACTGTGTCACCCTAACAAGTCCCCTCCCCTCTCTGCTTCTCAGCAACCTGCCTCCACCATCTTCCTAATTCCTCAGCCCATTGGCCTTTAAGCTTCTGGGGTTCCTGCATCATGCTACTGGGGCCTCTCACCACATCTCCAGCTGTGTCAGACTCAGGTTCTGGATGGAACCTGAAGCGTTGACAGCCTGTGGGTGGAGGAACTGAGAGGAGACTCCGGGGAGTTCTCTAGATTTCTGACACTTTAGATCTTTCTCTGTGATCCTTTGCAAGTCCCATAACTTGAGCCTTATCGACTAGTGAGTTGGTACTTTGAGAAGTCGAGAAGCCGCACACTCCCCTCTCTGGAGATACACAATTTAGGCAATAACCTAAGTCATGCCAACACACCTCTGCTGCAAAAAACGCTTAAGGGAGCAGAGTAGCTAACACGGTTATTGCAGTTTCCTGACTATCCATGTGTAACACTATACACGGATACTCAGCTACCTCACAGAGGAGCTCAGAATCAGCTCACCACCCCAAGGAAGCCAGCTGGTCTGCACCTCCAAAATCTGCTTGCCTCAGTCACAACTCGCTCAGCATCTTTTGAAGACCAGGAAATTAGAGAGTACTTTGAACATAATCCCTGGAAAAGCCGCTAAACATGGCATAACTCATCCCCTACCTTTCACAAGTGGGACAGGGAGGCCCAGGGAGGCCATGTGACTCAGCTGGAATCAGAACTCAGGCCTTCTGACCCCATGCTGTTTCTTTGACTCTTGCACGCATTTCATCCCTTAGCCAGTTTCTGGACCCCATGGAGTATTCCTTTAGAATGCTTCTTCTAGGCCAGGCCACATCATCCCTCCCTGGATTACTGCAACAGTCTCTTCTGGTCTCCCTCCTCCAAGTCTCTCCTTCCTTCACTCCATCCGGCATAATGAGCCATGTCACTCTCTGACCCAAAATTGTCAGGGGCTCCCCACATCTACTGAAGAAAACCCAAAGGCCCCAGCCTGATATTCAAGGTCCTCCACTACCTGGTGCCAACCTGTTTCTGGCTTCCCATCCCCCCACCTCCTCTCCTCACACATCCTTAGTCCAGCTCAGCTGGACTGGTTGCCCCAGGATCTCCCTTCTCCTGAATTTCATCAGTGCTGTTTCTTCCAATGAGTTTGCGGGACTACCTTGCCCACTGCCCCATCTGCCACCTTTTCCTGTCCGAATCCTACTTGGCTTGGTTCAAATGCCCTCTCACCCGTTAAACTTCCTCACACTCCACTCCCAATGGAAGAAATTGCTCCCTTCTCTGGAACCTCAAAGCACTATTCTGAACCTATTATGGGTGGATCTATATTAGGCCTTAGTATTTATGTACCTGTTTCCTCACCTAGCAGGATGCATTAGCAAAATACATAAACAACTGGTCCAAATGCTTCCCATAAGCCCAGTATGGTGCCTTTTGCTCACTGATTCATTCTTTCTTTCAGCAACAATTTCTTGAACAGAGGCTGGATGTGTTGCCTCACACCTGTAATCTCAGAGTTTTGGGAGGCCACGGCAGCAGAATTGCCTGAGGACAGGAGTTTAAGACCAGTCTGAGCAAGATAGCAAGACCCCATCTCTCCAAAAACTTTTAAAAATTAGCCAGACATGGTGGTGCACACTTGCAGTCTCAGCTACTTGGGAGGCTGAGGCAGGAGGATCACTTGAGCCCAGTAATTCAAGACTACAGTGAGCTATGCTCATGCCGCTGCACTTTGGCCTGGGCAACAGAACAAGACCCTGTCTCTAAAAAATAAAAATAATAATTATTGAAGAAAGTTTTGGAGTCTGATAGACCTAAGTATGAGTCTAAGCTCTATCACTTGTTAGTAGTGTAACTTTGAACAAATTAACCATTCTAAGACTTAGTTTTCTCCTCTGTAAAACAGGGGTCACAATATCTATTTCACAAATTTATTGTAATGACTAATGATATAACATATGCATTGTGCTAAGCATATACCATGTTATCTCATTAGTATGTAATAGTATGAATAGTATTAACTACTAATATTGGCTTATTAATTGGATAATATAATTATCTCATTAGCATGTAATAGTATTAATAGTATTAACTATTACATGTGGGCTTATTAACTGGATAACATAACAATCCAATTAATAAGCCAATATTACTAATAAATAATCATGCTCCTACTATGTGCCTGGAATTTTGAAGGGGCAAACTGGAAGAGCCAAACAGAAGGCACAACATAAGGAGCACAGAGGCAAGTTGCAGCACCATTGTACCCTGAAAACAGCTGGTGCTTGATAAGTTATTTGCCAAATGAGAGGGAACCTGTGGTGGGAAGCAGAGCCCCGGGATTCTCTGCCACTGTCATGACCTGTGACCTTGAGTAAGCCTCACCTCTTTCCTGGGCTCAGTGTCCTCAGATGATCCACTCATCTGCCCCAGTTCCATAATTCCAAGATATGGGAAGTAACACTGGGCCTTTGGATGATGTTCCTTCATTCCTCCAACTCAGGCAGGAGCATGTTTTTACCTGCTCAATTCAGGAGTTTGGCCTACAGAGGCTGGTACCACCCTCTGAAGAGGTCACACCTGTCTCTGAAGCAAGAAACACTAATCACTGTACAAGGTCTTGCCCTTTCATCCAGGCTGGAGTACAGTGATGCCATCATAACTCACTGCAGTTTCTAACTCCTGGGCTCAAGTGATCCTTCTGTCTCAGCCCCCTGAGTGCTGGGATTACAAGTGTGAGCCACTGTGCCTGGCCTGGTTTTTGTGTTCCTGGAATCCCAGCCTCACTGGCAGGTTGACTGAAGGGTGGTCAGCTGGCAGTGTGGGGGATGAGGCTCACAGGTGAGTGCCGTGGTGAGGTCCTCAGCAGTGCCTGCAGGCCTGTGGGCCACCTCCTCTCGGGAGCTGCTTCTCTGCCTCATCTTACATTGCAGAGGGAGCTGAGGTCTGTGGGGTAACAGTCACACTGAGACATGGCTCACAGAGAGACGACTTCTGCAGGTGCTGAGTGACATCTAACCTTCCCACTCCACCTGCTCTCATCCTGGGCTCTGAGTTTTCAGAAAACCAAGGTGTTTGGCAGACGATGATGCCTACATTACACTGCTGACTTTTGCCTGCATTTGTTATAATTAATGACTCATTGAAATGCCTCTCACTTTCGTACAGCTGGGTCCAAGTGTCAAACTGGAGGTGAAGTGGGAGAAGGACTAGAGGGATGCTGGCTTTGGAGTAGCCTCAGAATTGGGACTAAGGCTTCACTTCTCCTTGCTGTATTCCCTCCTCTTCCTCCTCTCTGCACTAGTGGTACAGGCTTTGGTACAGGGAGTTGAGCGCCAGCTTGGCCTTTTACCAGCCGAGGGATTTCGGTCAAGTAACTTAACCCTTTTGAGTCTCAGTGCTTTTGTCGGTAAAATGGGGATAGCAATAGGGTCATTGTGAAGATTGAAGCTGTACCCCTTGTCACAAGACATAGTTCATATATTCTTCTTTGTGTCTGTCTCCTGCTCTGTGAGGTCAGGGCCCCACCTCAAGACTCCATCTTTGAGTCTAGATAAGGTGTCAATAATAAGAAAGATAAAAGTGAATCATTTTATTGAGCATTAAATATGTGCTTGTCAGTGTGCTGAAACATTTTCCATATGCTCTCTCATTTATCTTAGATGTTATCATCTCCATTTTGCAAATGAGGTCCTCAGAAGTTAGACAATGTATTGTGAGGTTACCTAGATAATGAGAGGGTGAGCCAGAATTGCAGCCAAGTGTGCCCAACTGTGAGGCCCCTGCTGAGTCTACTGGGTGATAAGTGTCCAGGAAGAAGCTTGCTGCTCTACCAGCAATGGTTGTGTTCCCACTTTGTGCTTTTAGAAATGGTGGTGAGTAATAGAAAATGTCATCCCTGGGCCTGGCAGATATAGCAGGGGATGAAACTTAGGATGAAGTAAGGTTGACATGCAACTATCCAGGGCTTATTGTCCCCAGTGAAACAGACAATAGATGGAGGCCCAGAGAGCTTCAGGAGCCTGGTTAGAGTCAGAATTGGCACCAGGATCCTTCTTAAGAGACCTGCTGGTCAAATTCTGCCAAATTTGACAGGTGCGGAGACAGTTTCAGAGAGGGAAATGACTTGCCTAAGGCCAGAGGAACCGGCTCTTGAACACAGGCCTCCGACTTCCACCCAACACATTCTTCCTGTTGCCCCAGATTGAGGACAGTGTTGAGGCAGTTCCCTGTGAAGGGCTCTGGGGAAGGTAGGCTGGGTGGGTGTCTTGCAGCTTCTTACCCCATGGCTCCTCTCTGAAGCCAGTCTGGGATTTGAGGTCTAGAGGATGAGGCAGTTCCAGTAACCTGGGCTCTGGTTCCAATCCAAAGCTGACATGCATGGCAGGCACTAAGCCAGCCTCTATTATATCAAATTTGATCTCCACTGTAGAGGTGATACTCAGAGGACATAAAGGATTTGCCTAAGGTCACTCAGCATGTCAGGGGTTGAGCTGGGGCTCAGATCCACCAGAGGTCAACCTCTTATTGACTTCAGCTTTAGAGGAAGGGTCAGGAGCGCTTTGTCTCTTTCAGCTTTCCATCTTCCCTCTTCACTGCCCCCATGCCTAGACATCAGTTCCCCAGGGTAGCCTGAGGCCAGCTCAATAGTTTCATTTTCTGGCCCCTCTCTTTACCTGGTAACTTTTCAGCTGTTACCCCTGGGCCTGGATTCACCCCCTCCAGCAGCTCCTTCCCCCACTTCAAAGCATCTCCAATTCTGCTTTCTCCAGCAAATCCTTCCCCATTCAGATGTCTGATTGTAATAGCCTGAATAATGGCCACTCAAGGATATCAAGTCCTAATCCCTGGTACCTGTAAATGCTACTGTATTTTGAAAAAGAATCTTTGCAAATATGGTTAAACTGAGAATCTTTTTTTTCTTTTTTTTTTGTCACATGGAGTCTCATTCTGTTGCCCAGGCTGGAGTGCAATGGCACGATCTCGGCTGACTGCAACCTCCACCTCCCGGGTTCAAGTGATTCTCCTGCCTCAGCTTCCAGAGTACCTGGATTCCAGGCACCTGCCACCATGCCCGGCTAACTTTTGTATTTTTAGTAGAGATGGGGTTTCGCCATGCTGGCCAGGCTAGTCTCAAACTCCCGACCTCAGGTGATCCGCCCACCTTGGCCTCCCAAAATGCTGGGATTACAGGTGTAAGCCACCATGCCCGGCCTAAACTAAGAATCTTGAGATGAGGAGAGATCATCCTGGATTATCTAGATGGGCCCTAAATGCCATCAAAACTGGCTTTATAAAGGAGAGGCAGAGGGAGGGAGACAGACACAGAGAAGATGGTGATGTGAAGATAAGAGGCAAATTGTGACTCCACTCATATGAGGTACCAGGAATGGTCAAATTCAGAGAGGCAGAAAGTAGAACAGTGGTTTCCAGGGGCTGGGAGGAGGGGGAATGGGAAGTAAGCGTTTAACAGTACAGAGTTTCAGTTGGGGAAGTTTTGGAGATGGATGATGGTGGTGGTTGCTCAACATTGTGAGTGTACTTAATGCTACTGAACAGTACACTTAAAAATGGTTATTATGGTAACCTTTATGTTATGTTTACCCACCAGCCCCCACAGAGGCAAAGATCGGAGTGATATGGTACAAGCCAAGGCATGCTGGCAGCCACTAGAAGCTGGCAAGGAAGGATTGTCCCCCAGAACCTCAGTAGTGTGGTTCTGCTAACACCTTGCTTTCAGCCCAGTGAAACTGATTTCATACTTTTGCCTTCCAGAACTATAAGAGAATAAATTTCTATTGTCTTATGCCGCTAAGTTGATGGTAATATGTTACAGCAGCCACACGAAACAAATATAGCTGTGTACTACCTAACAACGTTTCTGTCAATGATGGACCATACATGCAACAGTGATCTCATAAGATTATAATGGAGCTGAAAAATTCCTGACATTGTAGCTGTTGTAGTATGGCAGCACGACACATTTCTCACATGTTTGCAGTGATGATGGTGGTGTAAACAAACCTATTGTACTGCCAGACGTATAAAAGTATTAGAAAAATGTGGAACCAGCCCAAATGCCCATCAACCAACGAGTGTATAAAGAAATTGTGGTATATATATATATATATGATGGAATACTACTCAGCCATAAAAAGGAAGAAATTAATGGCATTCACAGCAACCTGGATGGAATTGGAGACTATTATTCTAAGTGAAGTAACTCAGGAATGGAAAACCAAACATTGTATGTTCTCACTCATAAGTGGGAGCTAAGCTATGAGAATGCAAAGGCATAAGAAAGATACAATGGACTTTGGGGACACAGGGGAAAGACGGGGAGAGGGGTGAGCAATAAAATACTACAAATTGGGTTCAGTGTATACAGCTCGGGTGATGGGTGTACCAAAATCTCACAAATCACCAATAAAAAACATACTCGTGTAACCAAATACCACCTATTCTTCAAAAAACCATGGAAATAAAAAATAAAAAAGTGCATTTGCACTTTAAAAAAGTATAACATATACAATTATCTATAGTATATAACACTTGATAATGATAACCAATGACTATGTTACTGGTTTATGTATTTACTATGCTTTTTCATTGTTTTATAGTATACTCCACTTATAAAAAAACAGTTAACTGTAAAACAGCCTCAGGTAGGTCTTTCAGAAGGTATTTCAGAAGAAGGCATTGTTACCGCAGGAGATGACAGCTCCTTGTGTGTTATTGCCCCTGAAGACCTTTCAGTGGGGCAAGATGTGGATCAGGAGATAATTGAATTGATAATTGACCTTGTGTAGACCAAGGATAATGTGTGTGTTTGTGTCTTCATTTTTAAGAAAAAGTTGCAAATGTAAAAAAAACATTTTAATAGAAAAAATCTTATAGAATAAGGATATAAAGAAAAAATATTTTTGTACAGTGGTACAATGTGTTTGTGTTTTAAGCTAACTTATTACAGAAGAATCAAAAAGTAAAACAAAAGATTTGTACAGTTAAAAAGTTATAGCAAATTAAGTTTATTATTCAAGAAGGAAAAGTATTTTAAAAATAAATTTAGTGAACCTAGGTGTCCAGTATTTTTAAAGTCTGCAGTAGTGCACAGTAATGTCTTAGACCACATTCACTCACCATTCGCTTACTGACTCACCCAGAGTAGCTTCCAGTCCTACAAGCTCCATTCATGGTCAGTGCCCTATACAAGTGTACCATTTTTATCTTTGTTTTTTTTTGATACAGGGTCTTGCTCTGTTGCCCAGGCTGAAGTGCAGTGGTGTGATCATGGCTCATGGCAGCCACCACCTCCCAGGCTCCCTCCCTCCCTCCCTTCACATCATCATGCCTAGCTAGTTTTCCTTCCTTCCTTCCTTCTTTCCTTCCTTCCCTCCTTTTCTTTTTCTTTCTTTCTCTTTCTCTTTCTTTCTTCTTTCTTTCCTTTCTTTCTTTCTCTCTCTCTCTTTCTCTCTCTCTCTTTCTTTCTTTCTTTTTCTTTCTCAGAGATGGGGTTTCACCATGTTGCCCAGGCTAGTCTTAAACTCCTGGGCTCAAACAAGCCTCCCACCTTGGCCTCCCAAACTGTTGGGATTGCAGGCATGAGCCACTGCTCCTGGCTCCATTTATTTTCTTTTATACTGTATTTTTACTGTAACTTTTCTGGGTTTACATACACAAATCATTACCATTGTGTTACAGTTGCCTACAGTATTCACTACAGTAACCTGCTGTACAGGTTTGTAGCCCAGGAGCAACAGGCTATACCATACAGCCTAGGTGTGTAGGCTATCCCATCTAGTTTGTGTAAAGACACTCTGTGATGTTCCCACAAGGGTGAAACTTCCTATGACGCATTTCTCAGAACATATCCTGTTGTTAAGTGACACGTGACTGTATGCTAATCGATAGCCTGCTTCTCTGGGCTTTCCACAACTGAACTCCCAATGAGAAAAAGGGAAAGAGCTCTTTTACCAAGGACCCGCCAACATGTGCCGCGTTTGCACCAAAACCGTGAAGAAGGCGGCCCGGGTCATCATAGAAAAGTACTACACACGCCTGGGCAACGACTTCCACACGAACAAGCGCGTGTGCAAGGAGATCGCCATTATCCCCAGCAAGAAGCTCCGCAACAAGATAGCAGGCTATGTCACGCATCTGATGAAATGGATTCAGAGAGGCCCAGTAAGAGGTATCTCCATCAAGCTGCAGGAGGAGGAGAGAGAAAGGAGAGACAATTATGTTCCTGAGGTCTCAGCCTTGGATCAGGAGATAATTGAAGTAGATCCTGACACTAAGGAAATGCTGAAGCTTTTGGACTTCGGCAGTCTGTCCAACCTGCAGGTCACTCAGCCTACAGTTGGGATGAACTTCAAAATGCCTCGGGGACCTGTTTGAATTTTTTCTGCAGTGCTGTATTATTTTCAATAAATCTGGCACAACAGCAAAAAAAAAAAAAAAAAAAAAGGGAAAGAAGAAAAAATTATAGCAGCTCTCTTCATCCCTCATCTTTGCTGGTGTCTCATTGTCAATGAGGCCCCTTCACACCCATCATTTGAGAGAGTCATTGCTGTCAATGCTGTATTACAGATGTTCAAAGAGAGGGTTGCAAATGCCAAGTGAGCTGTCAATGGTCTACTGCTTGTTGGTAGCTGAGCTGAGAATCAAACTAGCCAAGTAGGTTCTCTCTTCAGCCCCTTACTTCCCAAAACTCACAGACTCTGCACTTAGGCTGTTGATTTCTTTGTGTGGCAAGAGTTCAGGAGCTGGCCATTCCACTGTGGGGTCCTTTGCCAAGAAGCACAGTTTAGCCAGTGAGAGGTGGACATTGTACCATTGGGTCTCCTGGGGAGAAGCTCCCAGGCTGGTAGGAGAGGTGGAACCCCCAAGGGTCCTGGACAGATGAGTGTGGAAGGAGGAAGAGGAGACAGGACAGTTCCCACATAGTGATGAGTCCTTACCCTGCATAATGCTGGGTTCTCCCTGCCATCTGTAGACACTAGTGACCTCAGAGTCATTTGAATATTTGTTCTTTTTCTGACAGTCAGGTATGGCTGTGGCTCTGTGGGCATCTATTTTTAAATGTGGAATCCTTGTCTGACCACTGATTGTAAACCTATGTATACTTGGATAGGGAGGGGGCTGCTTCCTGCTCTCAGCTCTGTCTTTCCTTATCAGCCTCATCTTTCCTGCGGCCTGAGTGTCTGGCTGGCTTTTTTCTTTCTCGGGTGTTCTGCTAACAAGGGCCCCTTTAGTGACCAGATCCTGGTTTTGATTGGCACCAATGACGGCAAGAGAGAGTCCAACAGGATCCTACCAGTGAGCAGTGACCCAGCAGCTCAGGCCAGCTGCATGGGAGCAGGTGGGCATCACACTGTGTTCTCCTAGAAGCATCCATTCAGGGGAAATTGGGTTTGAAGTGTCCCTTTAGAAGAGACCAATGAGGAAGAGAGATGGCAAAAGGGCCTCAGGCAGCCTGGGGAATGACTGTGGTAGGGAGTTTCTTACAGGTGACATGCTTTTTATATATGTTTATTTGTAGCCCCAGCTAGTCCCTCCCTAAATATTGTAACCCCTTCCTTACTCCTCATGCTTGTCATCTCCTGGAATGTCCCTCACTCCCAGCTTACTTGGCCTATTCCTCCTTTTCTTTCAGGTCCCTGCTCAAACCAGAGCTTTCACAGAACTTACTCTAACCTCACCTTATCCCCAGGTTGAATTCCTTGGTAGGCATTTGGGGTATTAGTATTTCTCCTTCAAAGCATGTGTCACAATGGTAATTTCACAGGTAGTTGTCTCATCTTTGATGCTGATCTATCTCTGTCATTGGTCAGGAAGCTCTGTGAGGGCAAGAGCTCTGTGTCTTTTCATAGCTGTATTCCAGGGTCGGTACATATGATCTGGCACATAGAAGCTGCTCTTTTGTTGTAAGAATAAATGAATGAATGAATGGATGCATTTTCTGACCTCTACCTGGGCACCATCCTTTCCTTTCTTTTCCCATTTATGTTTGGCTCTCCTAAAAGATCAAAGAATGGCTCTGTCCCTCCTTTGAAGTCCTTTAGTACTTCCAGTTCTCTCTCCTGCTCGCTTCACTTTCTATGCCTTGTACTTTTGGAACTTGGCATGGCCTGGCTGCCTGCACCTGCACCTGGGTTCAGGGCTGGACTTTTCCTGTGGGTGGGTTCACTTCCAGACTAGAACAGAAGCTTCCTAAGGGCAGGGACTCTTCCTGGGATACATTCAGGTGAAAAAACTTGGCTGAATGCAGGAATGAATGAACACAGGCAAAAGGCGAGTTGCTCCAAGCTGCAGCTGACAGCTGAGCTCTAAGTCTTGGGAGGCATCCACAGCAGACAGCCCCTGCTTTCAGGTTCCTCGTAAGAATTCCTGCTTCCTTTGGGCAGGCATTATACTGGCCCCAGGACATAGCCTTATATAGTTTGCAGTCCTGGGGGATGTGTGGGGGAAATGGGGAAGACCTGTGGGGATGCTGTCCAAATAATGATTCTTTGTCTGCAGCTTCAGTGGGAAGAACAGTTGCTGATACGGAAGGAGGGGAGGCAGACCTCTGAAGCATTGAGTGCAAAGGAACAGGATGCTCACATTTAGGCAGTGGGTGGTTGTCTAGCAGTGGGCAGGGAGGGCCTGAGGCAGACCAGAGTCCTGGCAGGGTTTCTGTGGTCCTCTGCCTCCCTGCACCTCCCCATCAGAGCAAGGCCCCCCTCTTTGGGAACAGTCACTTTTGGCTGCTCTGTGGCCTCTAGAGCCAGCCCCTGAGAATACCCCACAGCCCTCCCTCTGAACCCTGGCATGGGCTGCAGGGCCAGCTCTGCTGCTGGTTTCCTGTATGACCTTGGGCAAGTCATGCCTCCTCTCTTGGTCATCTCTGTTCTGAGCCCTGGCTTGCTGTTTAGACATGTGTTTCCAGATGGGTGAGCTGAGTCCCCAGGAAGGTCAGGGTTTGATGAACTCCTTGGAAAGGGTTCTCTAGTATCTTCCCTTCTGCTGCCTCTGGAGGGCCCTGCATCAATACTGGGAGAGGGACAGGGCAAGGAAATAGCTCCCGGTGAGATCCCTTCCCCCAGTCTCAGTTTCTTCCTCTTTACAGTGGGGGTAACAGTGGACCTGGGGGCTGCAGGCTGTGGAGGGGGAGTCAGGAATGTGGGTGGGTGGGTGGCTGTCCTTGTGGCCAAGAGATTAGGATTGTGCTGGTTTTTTTCCAGTGACACCCAGCAACTCTCTGTCCTCTCAAGAATGTTCTCCAGGGAGAACAAGACTTGACTGATTCTTCAGAAGAGTGCTGCACCCATTTTACAAGCGGACAAGCCAAGTCCTTAGAAGGCATGGGACTAGTCCAAGGATGGGTGGCAGGTGATCTGAAGCCTCTAGGCTCCTA